>NC_000001.11:118341713-118644744 GCF_000001405.40 Homo sapiens
CCTAAAAGCCTAGCCTGAGAGCAGTGCAGTGACAGACAATGGAAGCAATGGCTTCATCTGCAAACCAAGCCTTCACTGGACACCGTAAGGAAAGTGAAGCTGCCCTTCTGTTGGTTCAGTTTGCTCCTCCAGGTGCTTAGTGATGCCATCAGCAGCAGCAATACAAAACTCACAGTCCATAGAGGGAAGAGAGCATGTTTTCCCAAACTCATTTGGTTGTAAAGAACTAACAGCTACTTACACAATTCCAAACAAAGGAAACTTTTTTTTGGAAAAATGTCAACATAGAACTCTCAAGAAGTTAAGAATGGAAACCAAAGTAGAATAGGGCTTCATGGGAACTCTAATCAGAACCAAGGCAAAATGGTCTCTCAATTAATCATGGCATCCATAATTCTTTCTATGCCTATTTCTTTCTATACTCTGCTCTATAATTATACTAACAAGCTTCTACTGCTTAATCAGAGCTTTTGAATGCTCAAATTTCAGCATACACATGGGCTCTGCCTTATCATAGCCACATGGCATGTCTGTGCAGCAGATTTGTGTAGAAGGGGTATGACCAGGACAGCGAATAACTAGTTACACATTTGGTTCATTAAAAATTGCAACCTATTGTGGGAAAAATTGTTACAGAGCCAGGAGACTATAGACTCCATAAGGAAAAAAACTATTCCACCTTATTCACCACTGTATCCATGTTGCCTAAAATAGTGTCCATTACATAGAGCTAATGATTAAATGAATACATTCAGAAAGCATTTAGTGCTTCCTTGTGATGGAAGGAGCAGATAAAAGAGAGTTTTAGGAATTAGAATTTCTGCCTTTAAGTAATTATCTAATCTAATTGGAGAAATAAGTCATGCTGATATAAAATCATATGGATATAATGGATTTATCAGTAATGGTGTTGAGAGAAGTAAATGTCACACTTACTGGGGCAATTGAAGAAAATTTAATTAAGGGTTTATTTACCAAAAGCTAAGGGAAATAAGCAAGGCATGCTGTATCATTGGAGAGTTAGTGAGAGGTGAGATGTTACCCTCCCTAGGTCTGAAGATACAAAGAGGAAGTTGCTGGAATTGTGATGGTGAGCTATGGTTATGCAAGGGAGCTACTGGGTAGGAGCTGTGGCCTTAGGCAGAGGTATGTGGGAAGCTGGGAGAATAAAAATCCTGAACTTGGCCAGTTGTGGTGGCTCAATCCTGTAATCCCAGCACTTTGGAAGGTCTACGCTGGTGGGTCACCTGAGGTCAGGAGTTCTAGACCAGCCTGGCCAACATGGTGAAACCCCGTCTCTACTAAAAATACAAACATTAGCCGGGCGTGGTCGCAGGTGCCTGTAGTCCCAGCTACTCAGGGGGCCAAGGCAGGAGAATCGCTTGAACCCGGGAGGCGGAGGTTTCAGTGAGCCGAGATCACGCCATCGCACTCCAGCTTGGGGAACAAGAGCGAGACTTCGTCTCAAAAAAAAAAAAAAATCCTGAACTTATTCACCTCCTACATTAAATCTCCTACCTGTGCCTCTCATTGACTGACCCCAACCTGAAGCATAAAGGCAAAAGAGCGTAAGGAAGCATATGAAGTTACTCATCTGGGACATAGAAAGGATGAAGAGTACATCAGAGGAGGAACACGGAAAATATCTTGCAAAGTGAAGGGTAGCATATTACTAACGTGATTTTTATATTTTCCACTTTATTGCACATAATTAATTCCTTTTCCAGCTAAAAGCAGATTATTAAAGTAGAAAAGCAGGTAGAAATAGGCCCTCCTTCAACTGCTTATCTCTAGCCTGACTTTGTTCAGTCCATGCAGATTGGACAATCTTGAGAGTCAAGCTTTGAGAACAGAAATTCTAAGGTTCTAAATTCCAAAAGTGAACTGCATGGCTCAAAAATAAGTCTTAGATGTTGGAATATTGACTTCTGCCATTATTGGTAATTTAGAGAGGAGGGATTTTTTTTTTTTCTAATAAAGGCTGGCAGGAAAACAGAAAGAGAGAAACAGCAGCTCAGAAAGCATTCTTACTTGCTTTCCTCTTGCCTGTGCAGTTGAACCTTGAGGAAAGGCACTATGTGAATAACATCTAAATAGGTTTGTGGAAAATTCTCAGAGATTAGCAGAGGGAGAAGGGTGTACTTTTATACTTTTCAGAGCATAGACAGAGAATATTTTGTAAATCTTGTGGCGAAGAGCTGTATTTAGCATAGTATAGAGAGAAATGATAGTGCCCAGGTGGTTGCTGAAAAATGTGTGAGAAAAGTGTCCAGTTAGATCAGACAGAGAATATCCTCAAAGGGCCCTTCACATGTATGCATGGTTTACAGAGGGTGGCTGCAATTACTAAACTTCTCAAGGTGTGCACGAATCAGACGGGGCTGAGAGTGGAATCAGTGAGGAGACCAAAATCACAGGAAACTTATTACCAAACACTGCAGCAGAAACTGTGGAGCCCAGCATCAAACTCTAACAAAAATTAGATTCAACCAGTTGCACTTCAAAATGCACTAGCATAAGATGTCCAGGGTCAAAACAATATTGACCAAATAATATCAGATTCTAGTGAAGGACACAAAGGGGAGCATCAAGGTATGAGCTCCATACTGCCTCTGTGAGGACGTGTGAGCCCTTCTCTATACTCGTAAGACATCATGACTAAGGAGGGGAAGTGGACAGAAAACACTACTTTCCCCTTGAACAACCTGAGTTAGATAGAAAATATATTTTTAAAAGAATATTCTAATATTCTAATTTCCTTTAGTTAGCAAGTTTAAAGTTCTACCTCCACTATCACCTTCCTTCCCTGGAAAAGGGTAGATAGATTTGGTATATATTTAGTAAGTAAAAATAATTTATTAGATTGGGATGATGGAAAAGATGGAGGTAAGATTTACAACAAGCTTGACTGGGTGGATGGTGGAGCTGCCAAAAAGACAGAATGCAGAAGAAGTAGCATACATATATAGGCAGGTGATAAGTTCAAACACCAACATGCTGAGATTGACTGACTGCCTATCAGTCAGTCATCAAGAAAAGAAGATACAGATGATCAAGGTTTAAAGCAGAGGTCTGGGATGTGATTATAGACATGACAGTAGTTAAATAATGTATTATAATGAGTAGTTGCCATCAAAGACTAGTTATTTTGTGGCAAATCTCATGCTAAGCTCTTTGCAAATATTGTCCCATTTGATTCTCACTAATAAGATTGAAAAATTGATGTTCAGAAGGGTTTAACTTTTTACATAAAGTCAAACTGCTAGTAAATAGAATAGCTGAAGTTTACACTCGATTTTTTTTTTACTCCAAACTTAAGTTTTACATAATCCCCCCAGCTCAAAAAACTATGAAAGCATATATAAAGAATGAGGAAACAAATGGGCCAAGGGTAGATATCTATGAAGCACCAGCATTTAAGGGGTGAGAAGAGTAATAGATATAAAACAAAAAAAAAATAACAAGAAAACATGACATTACAAACACCAAGAAAGTAGACTGTTTCAAGTTGGAGGTCAGAATCAAGACTGTCCAATTCAACAAAGAGAAATTAGTGGGGACCAGCTGCAATCTATTGTAAGATTGAGATGGTGCATCCTAAAATGAACATGAGTACAAGAGGACATAAGCAACTTGCATGAGCAAGAAGCCCAGACCCCCATTTCACCTACCATAGGTGCATCAGTGCCCCACTCATCTCCCACCTGTGGCTGAAGGAGGAGGAAAACACCTGAGCTTGGTTGATGGATGGATGATTGCTATGTGGATTAAAACCAAAAATGAAACGTTAGCTGCACTACAGCTCCACTTGGGGATGCTTTCAGAGACAATGGCAAGAACGTCTGCTGAATAGACTGAGCTTTAGGTGATGCACCTGAACATCTGCTGTGGGGAAAGAAAAGTTATCAGGCCATTCACCACTGCCAATTAGTTCATATATAATATATTCCAACGAATACATGTGGACTAATATATTCCAAGGAATATATATGGACTAATCAGCAGTGGTGAATGGCCTGATGAACTGGTCAATAACCTGAAAGAAGAAAAACTGGAAGATCAAAACAAGGAGAATCAAAGTAGAAGCATATGGATGGCCATATGAGAGTGGACACAAGTGTGAAGATCATTGCATCATTATGTTAACTCGCACTAGAAAGCATCCACCATGGAAGAAGCTCTAAACAACTAAGTAGACAAAACAATCTGGCTTGCTGTGTTAGACAGTTTTTCAGCAGCCACCCCAGAGCTGGTATGATGGGCAAACAGATGAAGAAGCCATGATGGCAAAGATGAGACTCTGCATGAAATCAACAGCATGGACTCCCACTCACAAAGGCCAATTTAGTTATAGCTGCCTCTAACCCTGCAGCAAAAGAGACCAATGTTGAGACATCAGAATGTCACTATTCCTCAAAGAAACCAACCAACAACGTGATGGCAAGATGGCATCAAAATAATAGACTGTTTTAACCAATAAGTCAGGCTCAAGCTTGTCAAATTCAGAGGGCCAGAAGGAAAATACGTCTATCATATATGTATATTTCCACAGAAGCAAACTCTGGTTACTAGGAGCTAGTGGGTGGATGGTCGTGGGGAGTGGGATGAGGGATTAGAGAGATATTAGTCAAACGTTATAAAATTTTAGTTAGGAGGTATAAGTTCAAGGACTCTATTGTACAACATGTTGACTGTAGTTAGTAACAACGTAGTGTGTGCTTGAAAGTTGCTAAGAGAGTAGATTACAAGTGTTCTCACCATAAGAAAATAAATATGCAAGGTAATGCCTAGGATTTTATCCCAAATTTAACTACTCCACAATGTATACATATATCAAAACATCACATTGTACACCTTAAGCATATATAATTTTCACTTGTTGATTAAGTTAATTAATTAAAATGGAGAAACAGTTATTGGCTCTCAGGAGTTTGATTAACTGACAGCTTCCACCTCTGATCTCCTTTAGAATCTTCTTCAGCTTTTGAGGTGAGGTCATGGTATTTGTGGGGTGACCAAGCCAATGACCAAGCAAGTTGGCAGTTCAGGGCTTAGCCATTTCTGCCCAAAGCAGCACACTGTAATGGTCAATCTTTGCTCCAAGTCTCTTTTTTGATCTAGCAGAGGCATTTGTTAGGTTTGCATTGTGCTGTGATGGCTCTCCCACCCAATCCTGCCTCCTTTTTTCTTTTCCAAGTTTCACCTCCCCATAAATCTTTTTTTACTTCTAGCTCCATCTCAGTGTCTGCTTTCCAGAGAACCCAAAAGTTAAGAAGGACAGTGGGCTTTCTTCTGCTTCCTACCTCTATGTTTAAAAACCCATTAGAGGTTTGGCTGAAGGCCGACCACACTCTCTGACATTCTCCCTTCTCCTCATGACTGGCTTTGTCAGGCAGGTTGATAATCTTCCTGGGTAAACAGACTCAGAGTGCACTGTGGATATCTAGCTCATGGCAAGATAAGTCCCAAGGTCTAAATCGGGGAAGTGGCAGGAAACTACTTAGTCCAAGTAGTAACCCTAACTTGGAAAACAAAGGTCCCACCTTTGTTTTCCAAGTTAGGGTTACTGGGGAACCCTATCTTTTGGGAGTTATTGGGTACTAACTACCGTTTTTAGAGCTGATACTTTGATCTTCATTTGTTCTGTATTTATTATCAATTGAATATAGGGACAGAGAGGATGAAGTAATTGACATTACAAGCCTCAAGCAACACACTTGAATAAAATACTTTTCTCAGCTCTTCTGTGGTATGCTATATCTTAGGGACTTTAAATGAGCTTGGAGGGAGGTTGTGATCAAAAATCCTTGTAATATCTAAGAGCAGTTAACTTTGTCTCTCTAGTGAGAGGTGTCTCGTCACAATTGCATGCTTAGCAATTGTGCTTGGGACTCTTTAGTGTTTTTGTTATCTTTCTGCCTATTTTCCTCTTTTAAAACTGTTGGAAGAAACTCCCAGTTGGAGAAAGTATTTACATGATGTTTCTTAGTTTTCCTTTCTTCCCAGAAGGTAAGAAACAATAGTCTTTTACTTTTATATTTATTATCTGTTGGAAAGAAAAGTTTGCCCTCTTTGTATCACTTTCCAGTTATTGTGAAACTTTATTATACTGTCTCTAAAGTACTCATATATGATCTAAAATGAAATAGTTTAAACACACTTAAAAATTATTTTTGAGCACAGATTTAAAGTGATTTCATCACCATATGGAAACTTGTGAAAGGGTATTTGGAAGTCCAAGTAGACGCATTGATTCATTTACCCCCCAACAAAGACCTCAATTATCCATATGCTCAATTCACCAAATGCAAAACTTATTTTCCCTCTATTCCGTTCATGTTCTCTCTCCACAGTCAGCACCAAATTCCAGTTGGCTCCTCTGAAACATATGGTATGGGGGTGGGTTGGGGTGTGGGATGAGGGTGGGGGTTATGGCAAGGATGGGGAGAATGAGCTTTTTAATGCTTTTGCATTCCAGTTATCTGAAGAGTTTCTGCTTGGACACCTTTCAGCATAAAAAACTTCCTCTTAACATCTGTATCCAAAAAATAGAGAAAATATTCTAAAGTTGGAGAATGGGAGAAGCCCACTACAGAATATATATAGATGAAATAAAATGAAAGCTGAGTAATTTGAATGAGTCTTACTACTCTAGAATTTGATGAACAAATAAACTAAATATTTGCCTCATTTTTTCTTGATAAAAACAAGCACAGGCTAGATGAAAGAAAGCTAGTGTGGGGGGGAACTATGCACTACAATCAGTTGCTACTCATTGTTTTGACTTTATAAATCTTATTTTCAAAGCAATATTGGTTTACTAGCAGAGTACAGCAGAAATCAATCATTTCTTGTCTAACTTCTTAATTTTAGTTTTATAAGTTTCTCTTTTATCAACCTTTTTATTGAACTATAACATACATATAGACAAGTGTACTGTAGCATACATATAGAAACATATAGAAACAGGTATCCATCAGAGAATTTTCACAAAGTGAACATTGCCAAAAGTTCAGTCATGACTATTTCAGTCACAATCTTCCTCTCCTAAGGGTAACTCCTGTTCTGATTTCTAACACCATTACTATAGACTAAATGCACGTAGACCCCCAAAAAACATTTGTGGAAGCAAATCCCCATTATGGTGATATTAGGAAGTAGGGCCTTTGGGAGTTTATTAGGTCTTAAGGGTGGGACCCTCATAAGTGGAATTCATGTCCTTATAGAAGAGACTCTAGAAAGCTGTCTTGTCTCTTCTGCCATGTGAGGGTACAGAGGGTAGGCAGCTGTCTATGAACCGGAAACTGGCCTTCACCAGACAATGAATCTAATGGCACCCGGATCTTGAACTTCCCAGCTTCTAGAACAAGCTTGTCCAACCCTTGGCCTGCAGTCCACATGTGGTCCAGTATGGCTTTGAAACACACATTTGTAAACTTTCTTAAAGCATTATGACTTTTTTTTTGCAATTAAAAAAAAACTCATCAGCTATTGTTAGTTTTAGTGTATTTTATGTGTGGCCCAAGACAATTCTTCTTCCAATGTGGCCCAGGGAAGCCAAAAGATTGAACACCCCGGGATGGTTCCAACATGGCTTCATAGGAACAGCTCCAGTCTACAGCTCCCAGGGTGAGCGATGCAGAAGATGGGTGATTTCTGCATTTCCAACTGAGCTTGGAAGAGAGTAGTGGTTCTCCCAGCACAGAGCTTGAGATCTGAGGACAGACAGACTGCTTCCTCAAGTGGGTCCCAGACCCCCGAGTAGCCTAACTGGGAGGTACCCCCCCGTAGGGGCAGACTGACACCTCATATGGACGGGTACCCCTCTGAGATGAAACTTCTAGAGGAACGATCAGGCAGCAACATTTGCTGTTCACCAATATTCGCGGTTCTGCAGCCTCCGCTGCTGATACCCAGGCAAACAGGGTCTGGAGTGGACCTCCAGCAAACTCCAACAGACCTGGAGCTGAGGGTCCTGACTTTTAGAAGGAAAACTAACAAACAGAAAGGACATCCATACCAAAACCCCATCTGTACATCACCATCATCAAAGACCAAAGGTAGATAAACCACAAAGATGGGGAAAAAACAGAGCAGAAAAACTGAAAATTCTAAAAATCAGAGTGCCTCTCCTCCTCTAAAGGAACGCAGCTCCTCACCAGCAACAGAACAAAGCTGGACGGAGAATGACTTTGATGAGTTGAGAGAAGAAGACTACAGACAATCAAACTTTTCTGAGCTAAAGGAGGAAGCTTGAACCCAGCGCAAAGAAGTTAAAAACCTTTAAAAAAGATTAGACGAATGGCTAACTAGAATAACCAACGCAGAGAAGTCCTTAAAGGACCTGATGGAGCTGAAAACCATGGCACGAGAACTACGTGACAAATGCATAAGCTTCAGTAGACGATTTGATCAACTGGAAGAAAGAGTATCAGTGATGGAAGATCAAATGAATGAAATGAAGCGAGAAGTTCAGAGAAAAAAGAATAAAAAGAAATGAGCAAAGCCTCCAAGAAATATGGGACTATGTGAAAAGACCAAAACTACGTCTGATTGGTGTACCTGAAAGTGACGGAGAGAATAGAACCAAGTTGGAAAACACTCTGCAGGATATTATCCAGGAGAACTTCCCCAATCTAGCAAGGCAAGCCAACATTCAAATTCAGGAAATACCGAGAACACAACAAAGATACTCCTCGAGAAGAGCAACTCCAAGACACATAATTGTCAGATTCACCAAAGTTGAAATGAAGGAAAAAATGTTAAGGGCAGCCAGAGAGAAAGGTTGGGTTACCCACAAAGGGAAGCCCATCAGACTAACAGCTGATCTCTCGGCAGAAACTCTACAAGCCAGAAGAGAGTGGGGGCCAATATTCAACATTCTTAAAGAAAAGAATTTTCAACCCAAAATTTCATATCCAGCCAAACTAAGCTTCATAAGTGAAGGAGAAATAAAATACTTTACAGACAAGCAAATGCTGAGAGATTTTGTCACCACCAGGCCTGCCCTAAAAGAGCTCCTGAAGGAAGCACTAAACATGGAAAGGAACAACTGGTACCAGCCACTGCAAAAACATGCCAAATTGTAAAGACCATCAATGCTAGGAAGAAACTGTATCAACTAACAAGCAAAATAGCCAGCTAACATCATAATGACGGGATCAAATTCACACATAAAAATATTAAACTTAAATGTTAATGGGCTAAATGCTCCAATTAAAAGACACAGACTGGCAAATTGGATAAAGAGTCAAGATCCATCAGTGTGCTGTATTCAGGAAACCCATCCCATGTGCAGAGACACACATAGGCTCAAAATAAAGGGATGGAGGAAGATCTACCAAGCAAATGGAAAACAAAAAAAGGCAGGGGTTGCAATCCTAGTCTCTGATAAAACAGACTTTAAACCAACAAAGATCAAAAGAGACAAAGAAGGCCATTACTTAATGGTAAAGGGATCAATTCAACAAGAAGAGCTAACTATCCTAAATATATATGCACCCAATACAGGAGCAGCCAGATTCATAAAGCAAGTCCTTAGAGACCTACAAAGAGACTTAGACTCCCACTCAAAAATAATGGGAGAATTTAACAACCCATTGTCAACATTAGACAGATCAACGAGACAGAAAGTTAAAAAGGATATCCAGGAATTGAACTCAGCTCTGCACCAAGTGGACCTAATAGACATCTACAGAACTCTCCACCCCAAATCAACAGAATATACATTTGTCTCAGCACCACACTGCACTTACTCCAAAACTGACCACACAGTTGGAAGTGAAGCACTCCTCAGCAAATGTAAAATAACAAATTATAACAAACTGTCTCTCAGACCACAGTGCAATCAAACTGGAACTCAGGATTAAGAAACTCACTCAAAACCACTCAACTACATGGAAACTGAACAACCTGCTCCTGAATGACTACTGGGTACATAATGAAATGAAGGCAGAAATAAAGATGTTCTTTGAAACCAATGAGAACAAAGACACAACATACCAGAATCTCTGGGATACATTCAAAGCAGTGTGTAGAAGGAAATTTATAACATTAAATGCCCACAAGAGAAAGGAGGAAAGATCTAAAATTGACACCCTAACATCACAATTAAAAGAACTAAAGAAGCAAGAGCAAACACATTCAAAAGCTAGCAGAAGGCAAGAAATAACTAAGATCAGAGCAGAACTGAAGGAGATAGAGCCACAAAAAATCCTTCAAAAAAATCCATGAATCCAGGAGCTCATTTTTTGAAAAGATCAACAAAATCGATAGACCGCTAGCAAGACTAATAAACAAGAAAAGAGAGAAGAATCAAATAGACACAATAAAAAATGATAAAGGGGATATCACCACCGATCCCACAGAAATACAAACTACCATCAGAGAATACTATAAACACCTCTATGCAAATAAACTAGAAAATCTAGAAGGAATGGATAAATTCCTCGACACATACACCTTCCCAAGACTAAACCAGGAAGAAGTTGAATCTCTGAATAGACCAATAACAGCCTCTGAAATTGAGACAATAATTAATAGCTTACCAACCAAAAAGAGTCCAGGACCAGATAGATTCACAGCCGAATTCTACCAGAGGTACAAGGAGGAACTGGTACCATTTCTTCTGAAACTATTCCAATCAATGGAAAAATAGGCAATCCTCCCTAACTCATTTTTTGAGGCCAGCATTATCCTGATACCAAAGCCTGGCAGAGACACAACAAAAAAAAGAGAATTTTAGACCAATATCCCTGATGAATATCGATGCAAAAATCCTCAATAAAATACTGGCAAACCGAATCGAGCAGCACATCAAAAAACTTATCCACCATGATCAAGTGTGCTTCATTCCCAGGATGCAAGGCTGGTTCAACATATGCAAATCAATAAATGTAATCCAGCATATAAACAGAACCAACAGCAAAAACCACATGATTATCTCAATAGATGCAGAAAAGGCCTTTGACAAAATTCAACAGCCCTTCATGCTAAAAACTCTCAATAAATTAGGTATTGATGGGACGTATCTCAAAATAATAAGAGCTATTTATGACAAACCCACAGCCAATATCATAATTAATGGGCAAAAACTGGAAGCATTCCCTTTGAAAACTGGCATAAGACAGGGATGCCCTCTCTCACCACTCCTATTCAACATAGTGTTGGAAGTCCTGGCCAGGGCAATCAGGCAGGAGAAAGAAATAAAGGATATTAAATTAGGAAAAGAGGAAATCAAATCATCACTGTTCACAGATGACATGATTGTATATCTAGAAACCCCATTGCCTCAGCCAAAATTTCCTTAAGCTGATAAGCAACTTCAGCAAAGTCTCAGGATACAAAATCAATGTGCAAAAATCACAAGTATTCTTATACACCAATAACAGACAAACAGAGTGTCAAATCATGAGTGAACTCCCATTCCTAACTGCTTCAAAGAGAATAAAATACCTAGGAATCCAACTTATAAGGGATGTGAAGGACCTCTTCAAGGAGAACTACAAACCACTGCTCAACAAAATAAAAGAGGATACAAACAAATGGAAGAACGTTCCATGCTCATGGATAGGAAGAATCAATATTGTGAAAATGGCTGTACTGCCCAAGGTAATTTATAGATTCAACACCATCCCCATCAAGCTACCAATGACTTCCTTCACAGAATTGGAAAAAACTACTTTAAAGTTCATATGGGACCAAAAAAGAGTCTGCATTGCCAAGTCAATCCTAAACCAAAAGAACAAAGCTGGAGGCATCACGCTACCTGACTTCAAACTATACTACAAGGCTACAGTTACCAAAACAGCATGGTACTGGTATCAAAACAGAGATATAGATCAGTGGAACGGAAGAGAGCCCTCAGAAATAATACCACACATCTACAACTATCTGATCTTTGACAAACCTGACAAAAACAAGAAATGGGGGAAGGATTCCCTAATTAACAAATGGTGCTGGGAAAACTGGCTAGCCATATGTAGAAAGCTGAAACTGGATCCCTTCCTTACATCTTATACAAAAATTAATTCAAGATGGATTAAAGACTTAAATGTTAGACTTAAAACCATAAAAACCCTAGAAGAAAACCTAGGCAATACCATTCAGGACACAGGCGTGGGTAAGGACTTCATGTCTAGAACACCAAAAGCAATGGCAACAAAAGCCAAAATTGAGAAATGGGATCTAATTAAACTAGAGAGCTTCTGCACAGCAAAAGAAACTACCATCAGAGTGAACAGGAAACCTACAGAATGGGAGAAAATTTTCGCAACCTACTCATCTGACAAAGGGCTTGTATCCAGAATCTACAATGAACTCCAACAAATTTACAAGAAAAAAACAAACAACCCCATCAAAAAGTGGGCAAAGGATATGAACAGACACTTCTCAAAAGAAAACATCTATGCAGCCAACAGACACATGAAAAGATGCTCATCATCACTGGCCACCAGAGAAATGCAAATCAAAACCACAATGAAATACCATCTCACACCAGTTAGAATGGCGATCATTAAAAAGTCAGGAAACAACAGGTGCTGGAGAGGATGTGTACAAATAGGAACACTTTTACACCGCTGGTGGGACTGTAAAGTAGTTCAACCATTGTGGAAGAGAGTGTGGTGATTCCTCAGGGATCTAGAACTAGGAATACCATTTGACCCAGCCATCCCATTACTGGGTATATACCCAAAGGATTATAAATCATGCTGCTATAAAGACACATGAACCCATATGTTTATTACGGCACCATTCGCAATAGCAAAGACCTGGAACCAACCCAAATGTCCAACAATGATAGACTGGATTAAGAAAATGTGGCACATATACACCATGGAATACTATGCAGCCATGAAAAGATGAGTTCATGTCCTTTGTAGGGAAATGGATGAAGCTGGAAACCATCATTCTCAGCAAACTATTGCAAAGACAAAAAAACAAATATTGCATGTTCTCACTGAGGCAGGAATTGAACAATGAGTACACTTGCACACAGGAAGGGGGACATCACACACCAGGGTCTGTTGTTGGGTGGGGGCAGGGGGGAGGGATAGCATTAGGAGATATACCTAATGTAAATGACGAGTTAATGGGTGCAGCACACCAACATGGCACATGTATACATATGTAACAAACCTGCACGTTGTGCACACGAACCCTAGAACTTAAAGTATAATAAAAAAAAAAAAAAAAAAAGAAGATTGAACACCCCTGCTCTAGCACCATAAAAAATAAATTTCAGTTGCTTATAACTCACCTGGTTTATGGTAATCTGTTATAGCATCCCAAATGTACTAAGACAACCAGATATTAATTTTGTCTATTTTAATATTTTATATAAATAAAGTGAAGTTGTACGAATTTTTTCTTTTGTTTCCTTGGCTTGAGATGATGTTTGTGATATTTATCCATGTTGTTGCATACAGGAGATACTTTATTGTTATTGCTGTATGTAATGATAATGATGGTATATAATAATTGATTATATCATATTTATTTGTTTCCAAACCTTGGTTTTTACATTCTTATACATGTATTCTGGTGCATGTGTGAACACATTTTTGGATATATAGCTAGAAATTGAATTTCGTGTAATTAGATATGTGTAACAGCCTTAGTAGATAAATCAGCTTTTGTACCTGGTTGTGCCAAATTACATCCTTACCATCAATAAAAGAAATCTTTAGTTTTTTCACATCTGAACATTTTAGTCCTTCTGGTAATTGTGTAGTGATATCTCATTCTGCCTTTAACTTGCATTTAAAACTTATTAACTGACAAAAATACTTATTGACCATTGGAATGTCTTCTTTTATGAAACATTTATTCATTTAAATTTTTAAAAAGTAGATTGTATATCTTTTTTCTGAGTTGTAGAAGTTCTTTATTCTAGATATAATTCATTTGTTAATAATACATGTAGCAAATACTGTCTCCCACCTTTGGCTTCTCTTACCTCTCTTCTAATGGTATCATTTGGTAAGCAGATATATTTAATTTTAATGTAGTCCAAGATATAAATTGTTTTCTTCATGATTACTCCCCTTTGTGTCTAGTTTAAAAAATCTTTGCTAACCTGAAAGGCCATGAAGGTATTCTGCATGTTATATGCTGAAATCTTGAGCCCTCGTATCTTGTACATTAAGATGTATCAAGTCATCTACAGTTAATTTTGGAGGGTAAGGTGTGAGATAGGGGCCAAGACACACTTTTTTCACATGCATAACCAATTACATAAGCACCCTTTATTTAAATAAAGACTGTCATTTCCTCACTGCTCTGAAACTGCATCTTTGTCATAAATAAAATTTTCATATATGTGTGATTGTTTTCTGGAATCTCTGTCTTATTTATTTATTTTATACCAGTTGTATCAAATATTACAGCTTTGTAATAAATATAGTTGGATATCTAGTGGTGTTAGACTTCCAATTTTGTTTATTTTCTTCAAGATTTTCTTTGGTTATTTTTAGCTTATGTTTCTATATGAATTTTAGAATTATATTGCCAATTTACATTAAAATTGACATTGGTATTAATTGAGATTGCATTCAATCTGTTAATAAATTGCTGAAGAATTGTTGTCTTTACAGTACTGAGACTTCTGATGCATGGTCATAAAATATCCCTCCATTTACTTACATCTTGTTTACTCTCAGTAATGTTTTATAGTTTTAAGAGTAGATTTCTTATACAAAATAATTAAGTTAACCCCCAAATCAATTAACCACTGTCAGACAGAAACCCATCACTTCTTCAAAAAAAAACTACAAACCTTGTCTCAGTAATATAGTATTTATTACATCAAGCATGCAATAAAATTACTAGATCTATGAAGAAACAAGAAATTGTTCCCTTTAAGTACATAAAACAATTAGTAAATAGAAACAGTCTCAGAAATGATGATATTAATAGACAAGGATTTTTATAACAGTTATTTAAAATATGTCCAAGGACGTTTAAATCCCTGAAAAAAAAAAGACAGGCAAATAATGAGGGAACAAACAATAGATCTTAATAGAGAAAACAAAACACGAAAACCACAAATGTTAATTCCAGATCAAAAAAATTATGATATTTGGTATAAAATTATGCTGGATAGACTTGACAACAGAACTGACACTGTAGAAGATGAGACCAGTGAACTTTAAGACAAGTAATACAAACAAACCAAATGAAACACAAAGAGAAAAAAGACTGAGAAGAAATTATATAGCACCTCAGTTATTTATGGGGAAATTTCAAGTGGTTTCGTACATATCTAGTTGGAGACACCAGAAGGAGAGGAGAGATTAGGGCAACAAATATTGAAGTAAACATGTCTGAATGTTTTCCAAATTTTATGAGAACTTTAAGCCCCTAATCTAAGAATCAAAGTAAACCACAAACAGCAGAAATACATGGAAAACCACACCTAGGTATCATAATCGAATTACTAAAAACCAAAAGGAAAATATTAAAGGTATCCCCCAAAAGACAAAATAACAATAAAAAGAATGACTGATAAATTCTTAAAGGAAACAATGAAGGCCAAAGGCAATGGAAAGATTTTTATATTCAGTGAAAGACTTTTATATCCAGTGAAAATACTCTTCAAAAATGAAGAGGAAACAAAGATATATTCAAAGAAGTAAATGTTGAGAGAATTTGTGGTGGACAGGTGAAAACCATAATATACATTAACATAAGTTATTTAGGCAAAAGCAAATGATATTAAATGAAAACTCAAATCTATACACAAAATAAAGGTTCTTCAAATGGGAAACATGTATGTCTAAAATAACTTTATGTTCCTTATTTCTCAGTGTCTTTAAAAGATAAATGGATAATTAGAGAAAAATAATGATATATTTTGTATTTTAACATACATAAAAGTAAAATGAATGACAATTATACAAAGATGAGAGAGGAACTAGATATATACTGTTATAGGTTCTTACATTATATGTGAAATGATAGAATATTAATTCAAAATAAACTGCTATTAAATAAAGGTACATATTGTAAATATTAGATCAAACTTTAAAAGATAAAAGTGGTACAAATAAAAAGCTAATATAAGATATAAAATGGTATACTAAAATGTGTTTAGTTAATGAAAAAGTCAAGAAAATATAGCAAAGGAACAAAGATAAGACAATTAAAAAACATATTAAAACTAGTAGACCTAAAATCAATAATATAAATAATTACATGAGATATAAATGGACTAAATACTTTGATAAAACAGCAGAGATTCTTAGACTGTATAAACAAGCAAGATCTGCCTATATGCTATTTATAAAAAATACACTTTAAATAAAAAGACACATACACAGGTTAAAAGTGAAAGGAGTAAACAAGATATATCATAAAATTTTAATAATCAGGAGGCTGGAATGGCTATATTAATATTAGATAAAGTCAATTTCAGGCAAAAAATTTATCCAAAAGAAAGAGGAGAATTTCATAATGATAAAAAGGTCACTTCACTAAAAATATGTAATAAACCTAAGTGTATATGCAACTAATTAAAGAGCTTCCAGATACATGCAGCAAAAATTGATGGACCCAAAGGGAGAAACAGACATATTCACAATTAGAGTTACTAAATTTAGCTCTATTTTCCAGGTAACTAATAGATAAGACTACAAAATTCAGCAAGGGTATTGGCAACTTAAATGTTACTATCAACCACTTGATACTTATAGAATATGGAAAACACATTTTTTTAAAGTGCCCAGGGAACATGAACCAAGGTTAGGCCATATCTTATATCAAATCTCAATTAATTGAAAATAATTGAAACCATAAACAGTCATTTTCTGACAACATTAATATCAAATTACAAATCAATAACAATAAAATTGTCTGGAAAATGAAAAAATATTAAGGAAAACATTTTTACGTAACCCATGAGTTAAAGAAAAACAAATGTGGGAAATTAGAAAATACTTTGAAAAATAATTAAAATACAACATATCAAAATTTGTGTAATGCAACTGAAGCTGTGCTTAGAGAGATATTCCTACAGCTTAAATACTTTTACAAGGAAAAGATAAAAGGTTTAAAATAAACAACCTAGCTTTCTGCTATAAGAAGCAAGAATTAAAAAAAGCAAATTAAACTCATTGTGAATAAAAGGAAGGAAATAACGATGACAGAGGACACATAAAAAAGTCCATATATGATAGAGATAATGTAAAAAAAGAACCCTAGTTATAATAGTGAATAAAATAGACAAAACTCTATTTAGATTGATCACAAAATTTTAAAAAGTATGCGGGAGAGAAGACACAAATTTCCAATATTAAAAAAGAAAGAGAAGGGCATGAGAAAGATAATAAATATTATGAACAATTTTATGCTAATACCATTGAAAATGTAAAGGAAATAAAAAAGTTCTTAAAAGACAAATGATGAAAACTAAAAAAGAAGATATAGAAAACTTGAATAGCTTCATAACTACTAAAATTGAATTCATAATTAAACACCTTCCCACACACATACACATAAAGGTTAACTGATAAATTCTGTCAACATTTGTTTAAAAAATAACACCATCCTACCAATTATTTTCACAAAGTAGGAGAGAGGAAACATTTCCCAATTAATTCATTATTAATTAAATTTTGTATTATCCTTTTCCCAGAACCAAACAGAAATATTAAAGACAAATAAGCTTCCTTAACATATACTAAAAACTTTTAAAGTATTAGAAAATAATTCAGCAAAATGTAAAAAATATAACACATTATGATAAAGCAAGGCTTATTCAAGGAATTCAAAGTTGGTGTAAGATTTAATAAGTGTAATTCATGATATTATCAGAATAAAGGAGGAAAAACTGTGTGCTCTTCCTAATTGATGTAGAGAAAGCATTTGATAGAATTCAACACCCAGACTTGTTACAGACAAAATCTCCCAGGGGTAGACAGGATCATGTTAATGATAGAAGATTGAGCCCTTTCCCCTCTAACACTGGGAAAAGGAAGAATGTCTGCTCTTTACTACTATTCAACATTATACTAGAGGTCTTGGCAAGTGTATTAGCTGGGTGGAAAAAAAGCAAACAAAATGGAAAGAAGTGCAACTTTATAGATGAGATGATCATGTACCTAGAACATTCTGAAGAATGTATGAAAAGAGCTACTGGAGCTACTAAGTAAATTTAGCAACATCACAGAATACAAGTGCAATCTAAACTCAATTTTTTAAATCTATACTATTAATACAAACTTGGAATATGTAATAAAAATGTCATTTATAATACATTAAAAGTCATAAAATATTTAAGATAAAGCTAACAAAATAAATGACATATTCATAAAAATATAGGGAGATGAGAGAAATTAAATAGGATGTATATTTATAAAGAATGTATGTTTACATATTGCAAGATTGAATATTGCTGAGATTTCTATTCACCTGAAATTATCTGTAGATTCAGCCTGATTTCAATAAAAAATCTCAGCTGTTCCTTTTGTAGAAATATCCAAGTTAATCTCAAAATCTATATGGAACACAAAGAACCTACACTAGCCAAAACAACCTATGAAACAAGAAAAAGCTGAAGAACCTGTACTATCTGTCTTTAAGTCTTTTTATAAAACCACAACAATTATTAATGCACAGATAAACAAATAGGTCAGTGAAACAGAATGGTAAGTCGAGAGAGACCTACAATGATTTTGTCATAGGCACAAAGCAATTCAATGAGGAAAGGAAAGCCAATTCAACAAAAGGCACTGAAACAACTGGAAAGCCACATAGAAAGAAACAACTCCTATTTCATGCCACATATAAAATTAATTCAAGATATACCATAGCTCTAAAGATAAAAACTACAACTATAAAGCTTAGAAGAAAAGGAGAATATCTTCAAAGCCCTTGACAATACCTTCTTAGATTCATCTCAGAAAGCACTAACCATAAAAGAAACAAAATTCATAAAGTGGACCTTTTCAAAATTCACAACTTATGCTCATTGGAATTTATCATTAAGAAAATTTGTATCAGATCAAATATCAGGAAAAATGTTTTCAATACCTATATATTATAAAGGCCTTTTAAAAATAATAACAAAGACAAACAATCTCATTAAAATGCATAACAAATTTGAACAGGCACTTCATAAAAGGAAATATAAAAATGGTCAGTTAATGTGTCAAAAGGGAGATGCAAATTCAAATCAAAACAGCACATTACTACAAACCTCTAGAATGGCTAAAATGAAAAATATTTACAACACCAAGTTTTTATATAGTTAAATATACACCTACCTTATGACTCAGCAATTCCACTTCTGGGAATTTATCCAAATGAAATGAAAGCACATGACTACAAAAAGTATTGTATGAGAATGCCATAGCAGCTTTACTCGTAATAGCAACTGAAAACAGCCCAAATGTCTATTGGTGAGAGAATGTAAAATAAGCAAATGGCGGTATGTTCATTCAATGGAATACTACCCAGCAATAAAAACAAAGAACTGGTACATACAACAAAATGGCTGAAACTCAAATTCATTATGCTGAAAGAAAGAAACCAGAAAGTACATACTGTATGATTCCATTTCTATAAAACTACAGAAAAGACAAAACTAATACACTGTGAAAGAAATCAGAACGGCGGTTGTCTCTGGCAAGACAGAACTAACAGAGTGAAACGGGAGAGAAATTTCTAGGGTGATTTAAATATTTGACTTTCTTATAGAGGAGTGGGTTACATGAGTATGTGCGTTTACCAGTAGTATATATATAAGTCCCTACTCTGTAATGCTCAAGAGATACAACCATTTCCCCATCAGAGACCTCTATAAAAAGGAAGAAAGCCTGAGACATTTTATAAATACACATACACACACACACACACAGAGAGAGAGACACACACGGGGGTGTATTCCTAATAAATTTGGTCCTTTTAGCATTACGAAATATACCACTTTATTTCTATTAATTCTTCTTACCCTACAAATCAACTGATCTGTTATTTCGATAATTTTACAGTCTTTAGTTTACACATTTCCTAGTGTTCACATATTTTTATTTTTCATCCTTTTACTTTGAGTTTTTCTGTATTTTCATTTTCTTAGTATGTCTTGTAAAGAACATATAGATTTTTAAAACTTCATAATATATTATGAATATCTTAATATATCATAACCATACTACATTAATATGGAATATTCAGTCTGTTTGCACTTGATGTAGTTATTGATATATTTGGGTTTCATCTGTTACCAAACAATTTGTTTTCTACAAGTCTTCTGTATTCTCCTCTCTCTCCTTATTTTCTTTTAGTTGAATAATTTTTATTTTCTTATGAAATTGTTAATAGAATTGAAGTAACCTGCTAACTTTCTAGAATCTTAACGTTATGTTTGTTTGTTTGTTTGTTTTTAGAGATAAGTTCTTGCTCTGTTGCCCAGCCTAGAGTGCAGTAACACCATCAAAGTTCACTGCAGCCTCAAACTACTGGGCTCAAGTGATTCTCTCACCTCACCCTCAGTAGTAGCTGGGTCTCCGGACTCATGCCATCATACTCAGCTTAAAATATTAATATTTTGCCACATTTGCTTCAAATCTTTATTTTAAATTTTAAAAGTGTACATACAATGGAAGCCTCCTGTGTTAATTCTCAAGTATTTATTGCTATGACATAATTTATGTGAAAAGTAATATTAAGTGATTTGGGAGAGTTTCACTCTAACAAGGGAGAATTATTTCAAACTTCACATATTTTCCAAGAGGGATAGTTGTGTCTTTTCTTCAGTGATAACGAGTGTGTATTTTATAAATAGCAGAATCTATTTCTTCCCAGTGAATGTGCTTCATTTAGACCACGTTTCCTACCAAAAGGAAGGCAGCAGAGAGTAGCTGTTCCACTAATTGACATAGAAGAACAGAACGTTACTATTGAGTGCTTTTTCTTCACTTCCTGCCTGCATCTTTTATTGAGTCTCACTGCTGTCCTTCAATTATTCCCAACTCTATATATTTTAAGAGATGCAACCATTTCTCTATAGAAGATAACTTTTTAAAAAGGAACAAGAGCTAAGGCACAAATGTCAAAAAATATGGTCCTCTTGTAAATGAATTTTCAACTTTCAAAGCCTCTTTACTTACATAATCTTATGGAATTCTCAGGACAATTCTGTGAGGTAGTCTGGGTGGTATTCTCCCCATTTTACAGAGTTCCACAGAAATTCTTGCTTTACATCCATCGCAAGCCCACTAGATGAGGAAACAGGGACTGAAACAAAGTTCCATGAAACTCTTTCCACAGACCAAATTTTCAGAAGTGGACTTTCATAAAGTCAACAAGGTGCATCTTCAATGCTTGTCATCCTAAGCTGAACTATAGATATATTCCAAGTCCAAACCCTAACATGTTTATTTCTAGAGCTCTCACATAGCTGTCACCTGCTCTTACACCTGCAGCACTTCCCTATGTTGGTCTTCTTTCTAGCACCAGCACCCCATACTATGTAATTTTTTTTAGTACTTGCCAGGGCTTACCAGTCCTGCTTTCCATTCTCTTTGTTTTACTAAGTGACAGAAGACATCTTAGCATATTGGCAGTTATGGGTCCTTTTGTTACTACCTTGTACCCAGAATACACATTGGCATTCTGAAGGCCATGGAGATAACATCTTAATTCAATTCAGTTACCATGATGGTGGATATTTCAGTATCCAAAGAACAGAAATGAAAACAAACACAAATTCAATCCCATTTGGTGGCAGACCAATTAGAAAGAGTGGTTAAAGACATAAATTAACTTTACTCTTAGTGAACTTGGAGCTCCAAGGAAAAGGAAACCAAGCTTCTCCTTCTCCACATCCTTTATGCCTCCCTACACTTAGGCTATTTGAAAAGCTAAATATAACCTGAATGGACTCTGATAATGCTGACTTCTCATTTTCCTCAACTTCCTTGAACTCTCAAGAGAGAAAACTGATTGTCTACCTGGGAAAGACATCCCATCTTATTTTTTTTCCAGCCCTTAGATCTACAGGTGATAAAAGATCCCGAGTTATTCCCATAAAATACTGAGGCTTCTGTCCACTCTTAGTGTTTATATCCATGTGTCTCAGGAGGTTTAATTACTGATTGAAAAAAATATGCCCAAGAGGAAAAATGGTGTCAGTGATTCCTTGGTTAAGAGCAGAAAAACATTCTTAGCAACAACTAAAGGTAAACAAGAAGTAAAGAAACTAAGACTATGACCCTTTTCTAATGAATAAGCACTTTTTTTTTCTTTGAAAACTAGCTCTGAATCAGATATCCTTTGATGTTAAAAGGTCCGTTTCATACAATGACAATAAACCAGAAGTGATCTGAAATTTCTTTTTTCAAAAATTTTCCTAGGTCTCAGCCTCAATCTTTGCCTTGTCCTTTGTTCCATTCTTTTTCCCTCTTTTTCCACTCTTCAGATTGTAAATTTTCTTTTGGTAGGCTGTTTTCTATCAGGTCAGATTTTGCTGAATGCCCAAGAGACTGATGTAATTCTGACTAGTGTTGATGGATTGAATAAAATCACTAATCATTGCTTGAAAGTTATTCCAGACAAAAGAGAAATGGAGTTGAGAAGAACGATGGGGCTTTTGAGGATAGGGTCATTTTCTGACTTTTGAACTTGGCAGATTTCAGACAAAAACAGCTGTATGTAAGAGATGGGTGATGATGGAATACATCAATTGCCATCATCAGGATTTAGATACACTTGAGAGTGGCTGGAAGTCCTGGCATGTAGAATTACCAGAGGAATCTTCTTTTAGGAAGAAAAGGTGAACACTAATTGCAATGGTACATGAAGGTCAGATCTCAGAGTAGTGCCAGAGACAGTAGTGTCCATTGCACCTTTCTGCCTACTATTTGTAACACAATCTTCTGACTCTTCAACCTGTCTTGAAACTACCAGGTCAAGGTACTTGCCTCTTTACCTCCTTATCTCCTTAATGCCTTTCTGACTTACTGACTAAGGATCATATTTGGTGATGTCAAGTAATATTAACTATGATTTTAAAATTGAGTTTTAAAATGAAGGACCCTCACCTTGTTATCAACCCACCCTAGACTAACAGTTTAAATACTGTTGGACTTGGATGCTAATCCAAGTAGATTTTTAGGTGTCTTAAATCACACATAAAATATTTTTAGAAACTGACCAAATGCTAGCCCATTAAAGCAAGTCTCAATAATTTCTAAGAATGAGTATCACATAGGTTTTATACTCTAACCACCACTCAAATAAGGCAAAAATCAATGACAATTAAAAAAACTTATAAATAACATGTAAGTTGGCAAATAGTTCATGACAGATCCTAGACAATAAATAGAATTAAAGAGAAATAACAATAATTCATATGAAAATTTTTACATTACAGCTAAAGCAGTACTTAGAGGCAAATTAATAGCTTTAATTTTAGTGGTTATTTCAGAAAACTTAAAAAGACTGAAAAGTAATGTGCTAACATACAGCTTAAGAAATTAGGAAGAAATAACAGAATAAAACCAAAGATAGTAGAAGAGAAAAGGTAATAAAGAAGGTAAATCGATGGAATAGAAAATAAAGAAATTATAAATAAAGTAAATAAAACCAAAATTGATTCTTTAAAAAGATTAACAAAATACCAATGTCTAGTGAGATCGATCAAGAAAAATGAGAGCAAACACAAATAAACTATATTTAGATGAAAAATGATATGTTGCAGATACAGTAGAGATTACATGGATAATGAAAAGTTAATTTGTTCCTTTCAAGATTTGATTTTAAGATGTTTTAGAGAAGATCTAGAATGACCTTTGTTCAAAGAGTAATTTAGTCCCATTAAGGCATTGTTTCTGCAATCTCTACTGAATGCTTCCTCTTGGATTCTTGGTCCTGAACATGCACAGTTCATGAGTAAGCCAAAAATTTGAGAAGAGTTTTTTTTGTTTTGTTTTGTTTTGAGATGTGGTCTCACTATGTTGCCCAGGCTGGACTTGAACTCCCGGCCTCCAAGGGATCCTCTTATCTCAGCCTTTTAGTAGCTAGAATTACAGATGCAGAGAATTTACCCATCAGTATGGAGGCTCCCCTACTGTGGTACCATCATATTTTAGATTTCTCGTCCATTCTCCATTGCCTTAGATCATTAAAACTGCATCCTTCTGTTGATTTTTATATTTTACGCAGAGTGTCATTGTTATTGGAAGGAAGGTTAGTCTGATACAAGTTACTTACAAGGTTAGTCTGATCAAGCTGTAATTGTTATTGGCAGAGAGGTTAGTCTGATATAATACTGCTACCATTACTTGAACCTGAAACTAGTTCTTATGCTTGACATACTTAGAAAATGGTATACTTCCAATGGATTTTAAATATGAATTTAAATAGGTTAAATAGCAATTTTATTGCATTGTATTTAATATTGGAGATACTTCATTCTTTCAAACTTACATGTCTCTATTGAAACCTAGCCATTGTCCTTCAAAACTCTTAATTTTCTACCTCTTATACAAAATACTCTCTGATTTTTAAAAAGTAATTCACCAGTCACTGATGAATGTTTTACACACATTATTTTGTTCAAGCCCAACAACAGCCTAAAAAGGAAGTAGTATCTCAACCCTCATGTTGTAGCTGAAGGCAGCTTAGAGAGAAGAAATAATGTGGCCAGTATTACACAGCTTAGAAACTAAGAGATCTGGGATTTGAACCAAATATTCTGTGTATACTCTTGGACATTATGCTACTGCCTCTTGGCATAATTCTCTAGCCAGAAGTAATTTCTCTTTTCTTTAAATTCCCTTAGCACATTAAATACTTTTGGCCATTAATCATACTCTGTTTCATTATTGAAGTATGTTTTCATTCCACTGCAGGCCATATCTTATTTATGACTTTCCAAGATAAATTGTAAAACAGACTTGGATTCAAATCCCAATCTCACTTACTGGTTGACACTGTACAAAATCACGTAATTTCTCTCTCTCTGTTTTAACTCGTAGAGTGAAAACTATAACATTACATATAGGTATTGTGAAAATTAAGTAATGTACTCCTAGCAAGCATCACTAAGTGGCAGCTGGTATTGTTCAAGTTTCTTAGAGCCCTTAACTCATTGCTCAGTGCTTTCTCATGTAACATCTTATTAAATCACCACAACAACCATGAGGTCGTTAGTATCTCCATTTTCCAAGAAAGAAAACTGGTATTTTACAGGGACAGTAGACTTTCAATAACTGTTTCTAACTGAATGACTCTTAGCATGGCCTTTAAATGCCTCTCCAGACGCACAGACTCTTTTACCTTCCCCGTTACATGGGGCCAAGGTGAAAGGTTGGGTATCAGCTCTCAAATCAATCTTTGAAAGTGAAAGCAGTTGACCCTTTGCCAGTATTCTCTGGTCTTACTGACTTCCCGCAGTGAAACCTTTATTTTGAAACAGGACTCCAGAGTCACCACTGTCTAAAGGACAAAAATAATGTCATTAACTCTGTTTGTTTTGTTTGGGATAAAGTGACCTGAGCTCATAACAAATGTCCTCTTGTTAGCAAATGGAAATGCATAATTAAGACAGCTTTTCCACCACTTTTAATGAGCATCGAGCTTCCTCTCTACTTCTCTTTTGCTTTTTTTTAATGAGATACCAATTTCCTCCTGCTCAGCATTCACTGATACTTTAAGCAATAAAAGACAGCTTTAATTTTCATCTTAGTGTGAAGTTTTGGTATTAATTTATTCATCTGTGACCTGCACCACACTCTTCTCATGCTAAATGGCCTGTTAATCTTTAAAAATTAACAAAGTGTCTCAGACCAAAAAATGAAAGAGAGAGGAAAAAAGAAATGAAAGAGAAAAAGCTTAGGAAAAGAAAGAAGGCTTCTACTTAGGTTAATATGGAAACATTGATATTTCATCTTGCTGCCTACAACTTCAGCATCCTCTGAAAACACAAGGCCACAATGAAAACTTTTTCCTGGGTTCCCACAACTCCTCTTCAATTAGAATCCAAGTGTAATGCAGCCTGTCCGGACTGAGATGTTGGTTAGGGTCTGGCTGATGTAAATGGAGACCCTGCTGTGAGGCCAGGAGCAGCAGGCAGCCCCTCGAAGTATAGGTGGTGAAGGGCAGAGAAAAGGGTTTTTTTAAAGACTGTAGAATCAGCTCAGCCCAGCTGCTGTCTGCCATCTGGAGAGAGGCAGCCTTGGCAGATTTGGGCAGAAAACTGCTTATTTATGAAAATATATACATATATTTAGAACTTCAATAGCTCTTTAAAGACTTTCAGAAGTCCTAGTGTTGAGTGTAAAGATAATTTAGATTTGCACTCGGTAAAAATCTATACCTTGCTCTGTATATTTTGCTTCTCTTTATCCCATTCTTATAGTGGTAGTTGTAGATCATATGCCTTTATTAAGTTAGGTAAACTGTTTCTGACCAAAGATGCACTAACTTCCACCTTAATCTGTCATGGCACTTTTCTTCGTTTCTCTTCTGCCTTGACAGGCTCTTTAATCATCATCATGATTATACTTCACATTTTAAAAACATAGTTATTGGATGTAATTCATATACTATAAAATTTACTCATGCAAAGTATGCAATTCAATGGTTTTTAGGATATTCAGGGAGGTAAGCAAACTTCACCATAATCTAAGTTTGGAATATTTTCTTTACCCTAAAAAGAAACCCTGAGCCATTAGCAATCACCCTCTATTACTCTCCTATCCCCATTCCCAGCTGTAGGCAACTAGTAATCTTCTGTCTGTCTCTATGTATTTGCCCATTCTGGACATTTCATATAAATTGAATGATAGGATATATGGTATTTTGTCTGTGGCTTCTTTCAATTGGCACAATGTTTTCAAGGTTTATCCATGTTGTAGCATGTATCAGTACTTCATTCCATTTTATGACTGAAAACTATTCCATTATATGGATATATCACATTTATTTATTATCCATTTGTCAGTTGATAGACATTTGTTTTTTTTCCCATTTTTTAACTATTATGAATAAAGCTGTTAAGAAAATTCAAGTTTTTGTGTGGAACATTCAATAGTAGAGCTGGGTTGTTTGGTAGCTCTATACTTAACATTTTAAACTTGAAAGAAGTACTTTTTCCACTTTACATTTTCACCATGAATGTAAGAAGGTTTCAATTTCCTCATATCTTGGCTGACACTTGTGATTACCTGTTTTGTGGTCATAGTTATCTTAGTGGGTGTGAGGTAGTATCTCATTGAGGCTTTGATTTGTCTTTCCCTAGTGGCTAATGATGTTGAGCATTTCTTAATATATTCATTGGTCATCTGTATATGTTCTTTGGATAGGTGCTTATAAAAATCAATTACCCATTTTTAATTGAGTTGTCTTGTTATTATTGAGTTGTGAGAACTCATTATGTTTTCTGTACATCAGTCTCTTATCAGATATGTGAGTTGCAAATACTTTTTCCCATTTTGTCAATTGTCTTTCCACTTTTTTGATGGCATCATTTGCCGAACAAAAGTTTTCAATTTTGATGAAGTTCAATCTATCTATTTTTTATTTTGTTGCCTTTCTACAGCCTAATCCAGGGATATGCTTTCCTCTAAGGATTTTACAGTTTTAACTTTTAAATTTAGGTCTCTGACCCATTTTGAATTCATTTTTGTGTATATTGCTAGGAAGGTGTCTAGCTTCATTCTTTTGCATGTCGAAATCCAGTTGTCCCAGTGTTACTTGTTGAAAAGATTAGTCTTCTTCATTGGATTATCTTGGTGCTCTTGTTGAAAATCAATTGATTGTAAGTAGAAAGGTTTATTTCCAGGCTCTCAATTCTATTCCATTGACCTATATATCCATCCTTATGCCAGTAACACACAGTCCTAATTACTGAAACTGAGTAAAATTTTGAAATCAGAAAGTGTGAGTCCTTCAATTTTGCTATCCTTTTCTAGTTTTACTATTCTGGGATGTTTGAATTTCCATATGAATTTTAGGTTCTGCTTGCCATTTTTGCAGAAAAAAAGGAGTGGAGATTTTGACAGAGATTACACTTAAGTCTGTAGATCAATTTAGGGAGTATTAACATTTTAATAATATTAGGTTTTCCTATCCATGAACATAGGATGTCTTTTAATTTATTTAAATTTTTTAAAATGCTGGCCAGACATGGTGGCTTACGCCTGTAATCCCAGCACTTTGAGAGGCTGAGGTGGGCAGATCACGAGGTCAGGAGTTGGAGACCATCCTGGCTAACACGGTGAAACCCTGTCTCTACTAAAAATACAAAAAATTAGCCAGACGTGGTGGTGGGCACCTATAGTCCCAGCTACTTGGGAGGCTGAGGCAGGAGAATGGCGTGAACCCAGGAGGTGGAGCTTGCAGTGAGCCAAGATTGTGCTACTGCACTCCAGCCTGGGCAACAGAGTGGGACTCTGTCTCAAAAAAAAAAAAAGTATTAAGTGATGTTTTGCAATGCTGAGTACATGTTTTATACTTCTTCTTTTAAATGTTTTCCTAAGTATTCTTGTTTTTTGAAAATGATTTTATTATTCTCAATATTGACTTCTACATGATTTTTATTTAAAAAAAACCTTTTATTTTAGATACAGGGCTACAAGTACAGGTTTGTTACACAACAATATTGTCTGATGCTGAAGTTTTGGGTATATAGCCCATCACCCAGGTAGTGAACATAGTATCTAATAGGTAGTTTTTCATCCAAAACCCACCTCCCTCCCTCCTCTCTCTAGGAGTTGACAGTGTCTATTGTTCCCAAATTTATGTCCATATGTGTTCAATGTTTAGATCCCACTTATAAGTGAGAACATATGGTATTTGGTTTTCTCTTCTTGCATCAATTTGCTTAGGATTATGGCCTCCAACTGGATCCATGTTATTGCAAAGGTCGTGATTTCATTCCTTTTTATGGCTGCATAGTGTTTCATGGTATATATGTATCACATTTTTAAAATCCAATCTACCATTAATGGGCACCTGGGTTGATTCCATGCCTTTGCTATTATGAATAGCACAGTGATGAACGTACAAGTGCATGTGTGTTTTTGGTAGAATGGTTTATTTTACTTTGGGTATATACCCAGTAATGAGATTGCTAGGTCAAATGGTAGCTCTGTTTCATGTTCTTTGAGAAATCTCCAGACTGCTTTCTATAGTAGCCAGACTAATTTGCATTCCCACCAACAGTGTATAAACTTTCCTTCTTTTCCACAGCCTTGCTAGCATCTGTTCTTTGACTTTTTATGATAGCCATTCTGACTGGTATGAGATGGTATCTCATTATGGTTTTGACTTTTTTCATATGATTGTGCATATGAATACTGAGCATTTTTTCATATGTTTGTTGGCTGCTTATATGTGTTCTTTTGAGAAGTGTCTGTTCATGTTTTTTGCCCATTTTTTAATGGGGTTGTTTTTTGCTTGTTGATTCATTTAGGTTCCCTATAGATACTTGATATTAGGCCCTTGTCAGATACACAGTTTGTGGTATCCTCTCCATTTTTTAGGTTGTCTGTTTACTATGCTAATAGTTTCTTTTGCTGTGTAGAAGCTCTTTAGTTTAATTAGGTTCCTCTTGTGTATTTCTGTTTATACTGCAATTGCTTTTGGAGACTTAGCCAAAAATTCTTTGCCAAGGCCAATGTTGAGAAAAATATATCATAGGTTGTCTTCTAGAATTTTTATAGTTTGAGGTTTTAATTTAAATATTTAATCCATTTTGAGCTACTTTTTCTGTATGGTGAAAGGAAGAAGTCCAGCTTCAGTGTTCAGCTTATGATTAGCCAGTTATCCCAGCATCATTTATTAAATAGAATGTCCTTTCCCCATTTACTCCTTTTACATTACTGTAAATAAAATTGTTTTCTTATTTTTATTTTTGGCTTGTTCATTGCTTATATATAGAAATACAATTGATTTTTGTAAAATGATCTAGTATTCTGCAGCCTTGCTGAACTTATTTCTTAGTTCTAAAAGTTTCTTTAGTGAAATCATAGGGTTTTCTATACAAGATCCTATCATCTACAAATGGAGATAGTTTTACTTTCTCCTGTCTAATCTAGATTTCTCTTTTTCTTTTTTCTTTCTCCTTTCTTTCTTTCCTTTCTTTCTTTCTTTCCTTTCTCTCTCTTCCTTTCCTTTCCTTTCTTTTCCTTTCCTTTATTTGCCTTTCCTTTTTTCTTTCTCCTAATTAGCCTAGCTGAATATCCAGTACTACAATAGCATTTGAATACTGAACAGATGCAATTAAATAGAGGTATTGAATAGAGCTAGTGAGAGCAGGCATCTTGTCTTTTTCTTGCTCTAGTTATGCATTTTTTATGTAATACTCCTCATCATATTGAAGAAGTTCCCTTCTGTTCTTAGTTTGTTGAGCATTTTATAATAAAATGTGTTGAATTTTGTTAAATAAGTTTTCTGCATCTGTTGAGTTGACCACGTGATTTTCATCCCTTCTTTCCATTAATATGGTGTATTGCATCAATTTATTTTTGTATGTTGACCATCCTTGCATTCCTAGAATAAATCATTAGGAAATTTTCTTGTTTTAATGGATACTGGATTTGGTTTGCTAGTATTTTGTTACAGACATTTGAATTTATATTCATAAAGGATATTGGTCTAGAGTTTTATTTTCTTGTGATATCTTTGCCTGGTTTTAGTGTCAGGGTAATACTGGCTTCATAAAATGAGTTGATAAATGTTCTCTCTTTTTCTGTTTTGGGAGAGTTTGTGAATGATTGTGTCTTAGTCTGTTTTGTGTTGCTATAGCAGAATAGCACAGACTTTATAAAGAAAAGAAATTTATTTCTCACAGCTCTGGAACATGGGATGTCAAATATCTCAGTGCTAGCACCTGACAAAGGCCTTCTCACTGCATTACACCATGGCAGAAGGTGAGAGAAAGAGCAAGAGAAAAATCAAGGAATCAAACTCACAGACTCAAGTCTTTTTATAACTGACACTAATCCATTTGTGAGGATAGAGCCTTCATGACACTCAACACCTCCCATTAGGCCACACCTCTCAACACTGTTACATTAGAGATTAAGTTTTTAACACTTTTTTTTTTTTTTTGGTGAGATACATTCAAACCATAGCAGGGTACTAATTCTTCTTAAATGTTTGGTTTTTATTCACTATTACAATGAATCTGGAACTAGGCTTTGCTTTGTCAAATGTTTTAAAATTATTAATGAGATCTCTTCATTTTCTGTTGGTCTATCCATATTTTCTATTTCTTCCTGAGTCAGTTTTAGTGATTTATGTTTCTCAGAATTCTCAATTTTCTCCAAGTTATGTTTTTTGTTGGCATATATTTGCTCATGGTATTCTCTAATATGCCTTTTTATTTATTTAAGGCTGGTAGTCATGTCTATTATTTCATTTCTGATTTTAGTAATTTGATTATTCTCTCTTTTCTTTTTCAGCTTAGCTAAGGACTTTTCAATTTTGTCAACCTTTTGAAAGAACCACCTTAGTATTGTTGATTTTCTCTATTTTTTATATTATGTATGATTATTTACTTTATTTATTTATTTTTGAGATGGAGTCTTGCTCTGTCACCCAGGCTGGAGTGCAGTGGTGCGGTCTTGGCTCACTGCAAACTCCGCCTCCCGGGCTCACATCATTCTCCAGCCTCAGCCTCCCAAGTAGCTGGGACTACAGGCACCTGCCACCGCATCCGGCTAATTTTTTTTTGTATTTTTAGTAGAGACAGGGTTTCACTGTGGTCTCGATCTCCTGAACTCATGATCTGCCCATCTCAGCCTCCCAAAGTGCTGGGATTACAGGCGTAAGCCACCAAGCCTGGCCAATTACTTACTTTTAATATTAGTACTTTTTAGTTTAAAGCACACATTCACGTCTAGCCACTTCCAACTTCTCCCATGAGATCAAGAGATTGTCCTCATTTCATGTATCTTCTTTAAACTGTCTCTTCATTGATATCCTGTACCCCAGTCACCCAGGCTGGTGTCACTTGAATAAATGTGGGTTATAGTGGCAACTATGTCCTATTACTTGTCAGTCTCTCAAACCAACTACACAGCTTATCAGCACTGAATGAAAGAGAAAGAAGAACTAAGAAAGAAGTGGAAAAGACAGAATCTAAATCTTGAAAGGACTGTCAGGGCTATATATCTCCCGTTTTTCAATGAACTTTGCTTCCTGACTTTCAGAATCGCTTTCTCTATCTTGTTTCTTAACTTTGTACATGAAATCATGTTTTTGATGAACTAATTATACTATTGTTCAATACTGAGGTTACCAAATACTTGGCATGCTAATATGGTTTGGCTCTCTTTCTTCACCCAAATGTCATGTTGAATTATGGTCCCAGTGTTGGAGGTGAGGTCTGATGGGAGGTGATTGGAGCATGAAGGTGACTGGAGCATGAAAATGGTTTAGCACCACTGACCTAGTGCTATCTCATGATAGAGTTCTCACAAGACCTGGTTGTTTTAAAGTGTGCAGCACTTCCCACTTTGCTCTCTTTCTTTTGCCAGCCATGTGAAGATAGTCCTGCTTCCCCTTCACCTTCTGCCATGATTATAAGTTTTCTGAGGCCTCCTCACCCATGCCTCCTGTACAGCCTGTAGAACTGTGAGCTGATTAAACTAGTTTTTTATAAATTACCTAGTCTCAGGTAGTTTTTTATAGCAATGTAAGAATGGATTAATATGGAAAACTGGTACCAGAGAAATGGGGCATTGTTATAAAGATACCTGAAAATGTGGAAGCAGCTTTGGAACTGGGTAATGGGCAGAGATTGGAACAGTTTGGAGGGCTCAGAAGAAGACGGAAAGATGAGGGAGAGTTTGAAACTTCCTAGAGACTTGTTGAATGGTTGTGATCAAAATGTTATAGTGATATGGACAATGAAGTCTAGGCTGAGGAGGTCTCAAATAAAAATGAGAAACTTATTGGTAACTGGAGCAAAGATCCCTCTTGCTATGCTTTAGCAAAGAGACTAGCAGCCCTGTGCTCTGCCGCTGAGATCTGTGGATTTTTGAACTTGAGAGTGATGATTTAATGTACCTGGTGGGAGAAATTTTAAAGCAGCAAAGCATTCAAGGTGTGGCCTGGCTGCTTCTAACAGTGTATGCTCATATGCTTGCACAAAGAGATTTTCTGAAACTGGAACTTATATTTACAAAGAAAGCAGAGCATAAAAGTTTGGAAAATTTTGCAGCCTGACCATGTAATAGAAAATAAAAGCCTATTTTCTGAGAAGAAATTCAAGCCTGCTGCAGAAATTTGCATAAGTGAAAAGGAACCAAATATTAATAGCCAAGACAATGAAAAAAAAAGCTTCCAAGGCATTTCAGAGACCTTTGTGGCAGCTCCTCTCATCACAGGCCCGGAGACCTAGGAGAAAGAAAATGGTTTCATGGTCCAGAATTAGGGCCTCACTTCTCTATACAGCCTTGGGACATGGCACCCTGTTTCCCAGCCACACCAGTTCCAGCTGTGCCTAAAAGGGACCAAGGTACAACTCAGACTGTTGCTTCAGAGGGTGCAAGCCCCAAGCCTTGGCACCTACCACATGGTATTAAGCCTGTGGGTGTGCAGAAGGCAAGAATTGAAGCTTGGGGGCTTCCACCTAAATTTCAAGAAATATATGAAAATGCCTGATGTCCGAGCAGATGTTTGCTGCAGGGGCAGAGCCCTCATGGAGAATTTCTACAAGGGCATTGCAGAGGGAAAATGTAGGGTCAGAGCCCCACATACAGAGGGGCACTGTATTAGTCCATTTTCACACTGCTGATAAAGACATACCTGAGACTGGGCAATTTACAAAAGAAAGAGGTTTAATGGGCTTACAGTTCCACGTGGCTGGGGAAGCCTCACAATCATGGTGGAAGGCAAGGAGGAGCAACTCACATCTTATGTGGATGGCAGCAGGCAAAGAGAGAGAGCTTGTGCAGGAAAATTCCTATTTTTTAAACTATCAGATCTTGTGAGACTCATTCCCTATCACGAGAACAGCACAGGGAAGACCCACCCTCATAATTCAATCACCTCCCACTGGGTTCCTCCCCTGACATGTGGGAAGTGTGGGAGTTACAATTCAAGGTAAGATTTGGGTGGAGACAGAGCCAAGCCATATCATTCTGCTCTTGGCCCCTCCCAAATCTCATGTCCTCACATTTCAAAACCAATCATCCCTTCCCAACAGTCTCCCAGAGTCTTAATTCATTTTAATATTAACCCAGAAGTCCACAGTCCAATGTCTCATGTGAGACAAAGCAAGTCCCTTCTGCCTTTGAGCCTGTAAAATCAAAAGCAAATTGGTTACTTCCTAGATACAATAGGGGTATAGGCATTGGGAAAGTACTGTCATTCCAAAAGGGAGAAATTGGACAAAACAAAGGGGCTACAGGCCCCATGCAAGTCCAAAATCCAGCAGGGCAGTCAAATCTTAAAGCTCCAAAATGATCTCCTTTGACTCCATGTCTCACATCCAGGTCATGCTGATGCAAGAGCTGGGTTCCTATGGTCTTTGGCAGCTCCACTTCTGTGGCATTGCAGGGCACAGCCTCCCTCCTGGCTGCTTTCACAGGCTGGCGTTGAGTGTCTGTGGCATTCCCAGGCACACTGTGCAAGCTGTCAGTGTATCTACCATTCTGGGGTCTGGAGGACAGTGGCCCTCTTCTCACAGTTCCACTAGGCAGTGCCACAGTAGGGACTCTGTGTAGGGGCTGGCTCCAGTCTCACATTTCCCTTCTGCACTGACCTAGCAGAGGTTCTCCATGAGAGCCCTGCTCCTGCAGCAAACTTCTTCCTGGACATCCAGACATTTCCATACATCTGAAATCTAGGCAGAGGTTCCCAAACCTCAATTTTTGATTTCTCTGTGCCTGCAGGCTCAACACCACGTGGAAGCTGCCAAGGTTTGGGGCTTGCATCCTTCGAAACCATGAGCCAAGCTGTACCTTGGCCCCTTTTAGCAATAACAGGAGTGGCTGCAATGCAGGGCACAAAGTCCCTAGGCTGCACACACCATGGACACCTGGGGCATGGCCCACAAAACAATTTTTTCCTACTAGGCTTCTGGGTCTGTGATGGGAAGTGTTGCCATGAAGACCTATGACATGCCCTGGACACATTTTCCCCATTGTCTTGGGGGTTAACATGTGGCTCCTGGTTATTTATGCAAATTTCTGCAGCCAGCTTGAATTTCTCCTCAGAAAATAAGTTTTTCTTTTTAACTACATCGTCAGGCTGCAAATTTCCTGAACTTTAACGCTCTGTTTTCCTTTTAAAATTGAATCTTTTTAACAGCACCCAAGTCAACTCTTGAATGCTTTGCTGCTTAGAAATTTCTTCTGCCAGATATCCTACATAATCTCTCTCAAGTTAAAAGTTTCACAAATCTCTAGGGCAGGGACAAAATGCCACAAGTCTTTTTGCTAAAACACAGCATAGCTACCTTTGCTCCAGTTCCCAACAAGTTCCTCATCTCCATCTGAGACCACCTCAGCATAGACCTTATTGTTCATATCGCTATCAGCATTTTTGTCAAAGCCATTCAACAAATCTCTAGGAAGTCCCAAACTCCCACATTTTATTGTCTTCTTCTGAGCTCTCTGAACTGTTCCAACCTCTGCCTGTTACCCATTTCCAAAGTCGCTTACACATTTTTGGGTATCTTTCTAGTAGTGCCCCACTCCTGGTACCAGTTTACTGTATTAGTCCATTTTCATGCTGCTGATAAAGACATACCTGAGACTGGGCAATTTACAAAACAAAGAGGTTTAATGGACTTAGAGTTCCACATGTCTGGGGAAGCCTCACAATCATGGGGGAAGGCAAAGAGGAGCAAGTCACATCTTACATGGATGGCAGCAGGCAAAGAGAGAGAGCTTGTGCAGGAAAATTCCCATTTTTAAAGCTATCTGATCTTGTAAGACTCAATCCCTCCAATCATAAAAACAGCTCAGGAAAGACCCACCCCCATAATTCAATCACCGCCCACTGGGTTCCTCCCACAACACATGGGAACTGTGAGGGTCACAATTCAAGATGAGATTTGGGTAGGGACACAGCCAAACCACATCAGGCACTGTGCAGTGGAGCTGTGAGAAAAGGACCACCATCTTCCAGACCCCAGAATGATAATTCACTGGCAGCTTGCACTGTGCACCTGGATAAGCCAAAGGCACTCAACTCTAACCTGTGAAAGCCCTGGGGGCTGTACCCTGCAGAGCCACAGGGACAGAACTGCCCAAGGCCTTGGGAGCCCACTCCTTGCATCAGCATGCCCTGGATGTAAGACATGCAGTCAAAGGATATTATTTTGGAGCTTTAAGGTTTAATGACTGCCCTGCTGGGTTTAGGACTTGCATGAGGCATGTAGCACCTTTGTTTTGGCCAATTTCTCCCTTTTGGAATGGGAGTATTTACCCAATGCCTGTGCCCCTATTGTATCTTAGAAGCAACTAAGTTGTTTTTGATTTTAGAGGCTCAAAGGAAGAAGGGACTTGCCTTGTCTCAGATGAGACTTTGGACTTAGACTTTTGAGTTAATGCTGGAATGAGTTAAGACTTTGAGGGATTGTTGGGAAGGCATGATTGTGTTTTGAAATGTTAGAAGGACATGAGATTTGGGAGGGGCCGGGGGTAAAATGATCTAGTTTCTCTCTGTGTCCCCACCCAAATCTCATGCTGGATTGTGATCTCCATTGTTGGAGGTGGGGCCTGGTGGGAGGTGATTTCTAATGGTTTAGCACCATTCCCCTAGTGCTGTTTCATAATAGCATTCCCATGAGATCTGGTTGTTTAAAAGTGTGTAGTAGACCCCCTTTGCTTTCTCTCTGGTGCTGACCATATGAAGTGTGCCTGCTTACCTTTTGCCTTCAATGATTGTTAGTTTCCTGAGACCCCCTCAGAAGCCAGAAGCCTATAGACACCTGGCTATAAAACCTCTATTCTTTATAAATTACAATTTATAATAATATCATATAGGCTCTATTCTTTATAAATTAAACCTCCCTTCTTTATAAATAAATTACCCAGTCTCAGGTATGTCTTCATAGCCATGTGAGAATGGACTAATACACATACATACCATTGCCTCTCTGTCCCTTGCCCATGGCAGACATAACAAATTTATGCTAAGCTCTGATGTGGCTTTACTGTTCTTCTTAAAACAAGACTCCACATAAATACTACCAACATCTATGACTCAGCAATTGCAGGCTGAGACATTTATATAACATAAATACATACATATGTTAACCAAAGACAGGTATTAGAAGTTTCAGATCAACATCATTTATAGCATTTCAAAACAGAAAAACTATAAAATAGTCATCATTAGTAGATTAGATAAATAAATACAGTATCTTTACACTATGGGGTGCTATACAGCAATGAGAATGAACACTCTACACCTGGATTGAAAAATATAGATGATGCTTACAAATGTAACATTAATATAAAGAAGCTAAATATGAAAAGTATACACTGTGGGATCCCATGTATATATAGTTTAAAAACAGGCAAAATTTATCTTTGTCATTATAAGTCAAGATAATAGTGGCCGGGCGCAGTGGCTCACGCCTGTAATCCCAGCACTTTGGGAGGCCAAGGTGGGCGGATCATGAGGTCAGGAGATCGAGACCATCCTGGCTAATACGGTGAAACCCCATCTCTACTGAAAATACAAAAAATTAGCTGGTCGCAGTGGCGGGCGCCTGTAGTCCCAGCTACTTGGGAGGCTGAAGCAGGAGAATGTCATGAACCCGAGAGGCGGAGTTTGCAGTGAGCCAAGATCGTGCCACTGCACTCCAGCCTGGGCAACAGAGCGAGACTCTGTCTCAAAAAAAAAAAAAAAAAAAAAAAAAAGAATAGTTAGCTTTGGGAAGAGGTTGGAAGTAATTGTCAATATGGTCACTAATGGACAGGTAATGTTCTCTTTCTTGATCTGAAGCTCAGTACCACCTAAAGGGTCCTGAATTTGTGAAAAATTCCTAGCCTGTAGTCTTATGATATATTCTGTTTGCATATTTCAGTTCAATAATACATTTTTAAGTTTGACTTACTTGCCCCTACAAGGAGACTCCTTCAGGGTCTGAACCATGTTTCAGTTTCATTGAAACTCCCCTGGATTTAGGGCAGTGACAGAAACATAACAGAAACATGCTTGCTATGCTTTTTATTCGTTTCCTACATTTCAATATTCCAGGACTGCTGAAATCCGACTTCTTTGAGCATTTAATTCTGTAATTACTTTCTATCCACAGGGTCAATATTCCTAGCAAACTCCAACCTAGGCTTATTCCACAGTGTTCCTCACATTTTGGTTCCCAGTCCTGATACCTTGACTTTTCCCTCTGCTGCCAGACCATGACAAACCATGGGATTAGGTCTATTCACTGAAAATCTGGGTTGGACTAACTAACTTAGAATTCATGAAAGAAAGAAATTTGTTGACATGGGAGCTTGTGGTATACCTAGAAATTATACCAGTCAAATGCTTTTCAGTCCTAAAACAGAAAACTCTTAAGAACTCTCAAATACTACAGGTATTTCCATTTGCGTTAGAGGGAGGGCCACTCAGTATCTTTTGTATTGGGGCTTCAACATCTATGAGAGATATGGGTTATCTCTGAGGCTGATACAAGCATATTTAAGTTTAGACCAAGCTCTGGGAGGTCAGCTGGATCAGGGAATACAGACTGAATTATGTTGCAGTACAAGCAACTCTCAAATATCACTTACTTAAAACAAGCATTTATTTCTTGTTTCAAGCTATATCCATTGCAGGTCAGCTATGGCTCTGCTCCACTTCATCTTCTTTCCAGGATTCAGACTAAAGAAAAAATACTTTTCAGGATTATTTCTCGTCTTGTGGCAAAGAGAAAAGAGAACATTGTGTGATGGCTTTTAAACTTTATGTTCAGAAGTGGCACACGTCACTTCTGCTCATATGTAATTGGCTAAAGCAAGCAACATAGCGAACCCTAACACCAACAGTGCAAGAATATATCATCCTTTCACATGAAGAAACACTGAATATTTATAACAATAACAATCTACCATGATAGCAAGGGTGAAAGAAAGATGGGATGTGGTCTCTTTCCCCAGTAATTTATAAACAATTAGGGACAATAATTTATACTCCATATTCTTTTGCTCACAATGTAATCTCTGATATTTTTAGCCTGAACACTTAGGGCAGAGGAAAACACTAGATGTTAGTTCATATAAACCATCCTTGCTGCAACTTTTTCTTGACATTTTCAGAGTCTTCCCTCCCATACCCCCATAATGTAGACAGATGGAGGCAAGTGTCTTCCTCGAAGTGTCTGGTTGATGAGAATGGGGAGCAGAGCCTGGAATGTGTTCAAAGATGTACTTAGATTCATTTATGGAGCTATCTCATCAAGCTCTATAAAGTTATGATGTCTGAAGATTAAGAACAATAATAGAAGACAGACCCCTGCTAGGCTCATTCCATACTCCTCCCTGGGGTTAGTGAAAAATGAGACAATTACCACTTTCTGAAAAAGTATAAATGTTTCCTTTGGAAAAAGATACTGAAGCTCTTTCTTAATCCTTAAAAAGCCTAAATAAAAAGGCTACAAAATATTATCCTTGAAAAGCTTCAACAGAATGGCCACACATGCTCCCTAAGTCAGAGTCTCCTGGCCTGCCATAACAGAACAGTCCTGGAGTATCCTCCAGGGAGTGCCTGTGGAATGTGGATCACTGGAAAGTTAACACTGGGCAGTTTCAGCACACAGGACTTGTGGTTGGTCCAAGTGGATGAACTGAGCTACTATTGTCCCAACTAAACACGTTAGGCTTTACCCAAAGCTGTAGAAACAGCCAGGTGTCTATTCTGAAGGGTGCTGAGTGAATCAGTTAGATATCATTTTCCCTTTAATTCCAACACAGGAAAGGTCTGTCACTCCCAGTCACTGTGGAAGGGAACTAGAGGGTGGGGCTTAAAAAGGAAAAAAGGATGCAACACAGTACAAAGCCCATCCTTAAATTCCTCTGAAAGGAGGGTGGCAAATGAGGAGATGAGGAGGAGTGGGGGAAATTGCAAAAACAAATATGTGCCCCAGATCCATCTGGAAGCCAGATACTCAGTGTGTGGGCATAAAACTGTCTTCTGTTCCAGGTGCTGTCTCTGGTGGCTTAGTCTACCCCTCCCTCTCACCAAACCACAGGGAAGTCCTACTCCTCTGCAACTTTCCCAAGACACATTGCTTAATGTCTGAAAATACAGTTTTGCTAAAACCAACTGATACAATTATTTTTCCCAACTATAGTTTTATTACCAAGATTATAAATCATATAATCATTAGTTGTTCAACTTGAATGGACTTTAGAGAGTAGCAATAATAGAAAGAGATAATGGACAGATGTAGATTTCAATTGTGACTCCCATTCATGAGCTAAGTAAATAAATTATTTAATTTCTCCAAAACTCCATTTTTCTAATTTGTGAAGTGGTGATGAAAACAATATCACCCTTATCCTATAACCATTCTTTTTTCATACATCTATCCATTCGTTTAAGAAATACATCATATATATGTTTACTGTGTAGAAGACACCTGATATGGTTATGGTTTGGCTGTGACCCCACCCAAATCTCATCTTGAATTGTAGTTCCCATAATCCCTGTGTGTCATGGGAGGGACCCAGTGGGAGGTGATTGAATCATAGGGGCAGTTACCTCCATGCTGTTCTCATGCTAGTGAGTAGGTTCTCATGAGATCTGAGGGTCTTACAAGGAGATTTTCCCCTTTTGCTTGGCACTTTTCATTCTTCTCTGTCCTGCCACCATGTGAAGAAGGATGTATTGCTTCCCCTTCCACCATGACTGTAAGTTTCTTGAGGCCTCCCCAGCCAGGCAGAATTGTGAGTCAAATAAAACTGTTTCCTTTATAAATTACCCTGTCTCAAGTATTTCTTCACAGCAGCATAAGAACAAACTAATACAACACCATGCTAAGAGGTGGCTGTATGGTAGAGAAGCATTCTGACATGGTTATTTACTTGACAGAATTTATAGCCTCTCTGCTGGGAAGGTCAGACATCAATAATCACACAAATAAATATAATTGATTTTGTGATAGGATAAATGAAGTAAAAAGTATTTCTGAGGTAGTATCAGGCAGAGATGAAGGATGAGTGGGAATTAGAGAAGTGAAGAAAAGGAGAGTGGCAATGGGGTAGGATCATGTATTGGGCAAAGGGAAGAATCCCTTTGGTGGTACTAAAGAATGACTGAGTTTAGTTTGCTGCTCAGATATTTGGAGTTTGCTGCTAAGATATTTGGATTAAACAACTTTTGGTATGGGTCAAACTTAGAGTAATCGTATTGAACACGTGGATTTCCTCAAAGCAGACTGACAGGAAAAAGAAGTCAAGTGAACGAAAAGATTATTCTAAAGCAATCAGAGAAAACAAAATGCATTAGTGGAAAAAAAAAGAACGACTAAGTTTCCAGAAACAAAAGATCAGTAAAAAAGACACGAACAAAATGAAAAATACCACCACTAGGTAAGACTGAACAAGCCTATCCAGATTACACAGAGTGGTGTGGATCACTTCATGGATTTTACACTTTATCTTAAATTGAAATGGGATACCAAAAAAGGGCTATAAGAAGGGGAGCAACTATTAAACAGGGGATGTGTATAAAATACCACTTTCTTAAAAGGTGTTTAATAAAGTTTGTGTGTGTATGATAAAACACACAAATACTCCAACCTGTTCATTTTTAAGATGAGAGATCATAAAACTTAGCATATGGTTTCAGAATGTCCAAAGAGATTAAGAACATAATACTGAGTCCTGAACAAAACTTTTCATTTTGTTGGACTGATTTTAAATAAGGAATCTATTGGGATTTAAATAATTGATAGTGTTTAGGAAAAGATTATCTATTTGACTTTGCATCTAGATATATTTTATTTTGAATGGACCAGGGGTCATGGCATTAGATAAATGAAGAAAATATAATCCTTGCACAAAGCATTGTTGTGTAGGCAGATTACCAGATAAAATACAGATGCCAAGTTAAATTTGAATTTTAGACAAACATCAATCTTTTAGTATAAGTATGGCTCAAATATTTCATAGAACATACTTACACAAAAAATTGTTTGATATTCATCTAAAATCCAAATTTATCTGGGAATGCTTTATTTTAATTTGCTAAATCTGGTAAATCTATTATTATAAGGAACAATAGTCACATACTCATAATAGTATTTGTCTGTTTGTTTGTTTGAGACAGGGTCTTGCTCTGTCACCCAGGCTGGAGTGCAGTGGTGTGATCACGGCTCACTGTAGCCTCAACCTTCTGAGCTCAAAGGATCCTCCAGCCTCAGCCTTCTGAGTAGCTGGGACTACAGGCTTGTGCCATCACACCCAGCTAACTTTCTATTTTTTGTAGAGACAGGATCTCACTAAATTGCCCAAGCTAGTCTTGGACTCCAGGGCTCAAGCAATCCTGCCTCAGCCTCCCAAAGTGTTGGGATTACAGGCATGAGCCACATAATAACATTATTTGTTGGTTTACAACTTTTAGAATTGCTTTATTGGTGAAACACCAAATACTTAATGTTATGGATCAGAATATAAATTTTAACAACTTTTCAATATAAAAGAAACGTCATAAATGGCAGATGGGAAATAAAGAGGTATAAGGAAAGGTAGAGGAATGGATGTCCATCTTCAGTGGAAGTGAGTTGAGATATTGCTAAAAGTTGATGGATATTATGTGATTCATCTACTCTAGTATTCTTTTTGCCAGAAAAGTTCTAAGAGATGGTATTATCATATCAAACTTAAGGCACAGGTGTCTTTTTGCTTCAGAGTGACCTTTTGTTCCATTGCCTGATTTTTTTTCCAAAAACTTTCAAAGTCTAGTCTGTACTACCTTAGGAAATGAGGAGCACTTCCAACTTTATTAACTGTTATATAAAGAAACTCATTAAAAGTCATCTTTATCCAATACAATTGGAAATATTATTCTGGTAATAAAAAAAAGCCAGTTTAAGTGGGAAATCATAAAAAATGATACAGATGAACATTATATATTTTATTTTGATCTTCAAAATATGAAGGAGTATTTATATGCCAGTCTTTTGAAGTGGGCCAAGATGTTTTCATCAAATATGGGTCCCTGAGTATGAGTTCTGTGTCACCATAAAGCAGCATCTCTCATTTCCATTCTTTCCACTTAGTTTCTATAAAATATAGTGAGAATTTGAGGATACTTTAATCTGAGGGGAGAAGCCTTCTGTGTTTTTACAAAAGTTTCCGCCATCTTCCACAGTCTTGCCCTCAGCAATTTTTTGTGACTTACTTTTACTGATTATTTTCTATGCACTTAAAGTAATTTCTTGGTGTAAACAATAAAAATATATTTTTATATTTATATTCCATTGAGTTTAATTCTATTTCATCACATTATATAATTATATAACCAGAAAGACTGGGAGAAGCTATTGCAGTAGCATAAAAATCTACTTCTTGATTTCTCAACTGAGGAAAAATTCACATTCTGCCTTATATGTTCACCCCAAAACTACAAAATAAGTTGTCAGGGAGTTTAGGCAATTAAGTCTTCTTACAGGCTATACTACTGGGAGGCAGGAAACTAGGTTAAACAATTCTGAAGGCTAATTTCACTCAAAATTTGTATCATAATATGTATATTGATATCATTCTTCATTTCCTTAAAATGTGAGATTTTTGATTCTCCTAAAATTGTGTTGTTTCCATGGAAGGGTTTTATGCACCTAATTATTTTTTCTTTACTTTTCCCTTGAGGATGGGCATGTGGGGGAAAAGGGATAATATATTTACTGAGCAGCCTAAGAAAGCTCCTTGGGAGATAAGTGGCAGGTTATATTGGGGCTAAGTCCTAAGATAATTTATTATATTCTCAAACCCTGAACAAAATCCATTTTAATGAATGTGTAATAGAATTTTCTAGGCTATATCCAGCCATAATGCTCCAATAGAGACATAATCACATTAAGGGAAATGTATTTCTATTTAGTTTTTCTTCACAGAATTACTGCAATCCAAGCTTCATCCTTCTTAATCAAGAAGGTCCACATCTTAAGGCATGAACCTTCTTATTGCATTTAGTATTAAATCTGGATTCATATACCAGGTTATAGTCCTAATTTTACTTATCCATAAACATCAAATTGTTAATTAATTCCCAGAACTGAAGGTTAAATTGAGCTGTTTTCCTTATGACTAATTTTCAGTAAAGCCAGAATTTTGAAAGTAACCCCTTTTTTTTTTCAAGTTTCTTATATGGGTTTTCTGTTCTTAAATGTTTCTTTATAACGAGAAAAGAGATTCATTGTTGGAATGATGGATTTTGCTTTTTGTTAAAAAAGACAGAGTGCTCAGGGTGGGGTCTGGCCATTTCCTGCCCCAAAACACAACTGTAAAAGATCAGTCATGTTAAAGGCCTAAACAACCTGACAAGATCACTTTAACCGCAACAGCAAATAAAGGTGATTCCCAACAGGGGGTTTAGGGAAAGGTGGCTGGGTTTAATTCTCCCTTAATGAACAGGCGGTTTCTCCTACTGGTAACACTACCTCAACAGAGGAGCCCTCAGAGCAGCCCAGGACACTCTTCAGGAGAGTATGTTTCCTTGGCTAAAATAAATGAATCTTAGAACAGACTTAAAGGGCTCCAAGTCTGTTGAAATCTTACCCTTTCTTAAAAACCCAGATTAAAGACTACTTCCTTTCTCACTGAACACGTCTTAACTGACTTTCTTTTACTGAGATTCCATTGTATTTTTTGTTTATTTGTTTGTTTGTTTTTTTGAGACGGAATTTCGCTCTTGTCACTCAGACTGGAGTGCCATGACGCAATCTCGGCTCACTGCAACCTCCACCTCCCGGTTCAAGCGATTCTCCTGCCTCAGCCTCCCAAGTACCTGCGATTACAGGCGCCTGCCACCATATCCAGCTAATCTTTTTGTATTTTTAGTAGAGATGGGTTTTCACCCATGTTGGCCAGACTGGTCTTGAACTCCTGACCTCAGGTGATCTACCCACCTCAGCCTCCAAAAGTGCTGGGATTACAGGCGTGAGCCACCGTGCCCGGCCCCATTGTATTGTTTTGATATATTTAAATTTACTTAGATTACACTTTAAATTGTAATTTTTTGAACAATTGACCTCCTCACTGGAATATAAGCAGTTTGAGGAAAGGATTCTGTCTTATTTGTTATTGTACTTCCAAGGAACAGTGCTAAGGACGAGAGATATCAGGTAAGACAAAAATGAATTAGTTCATGATAGCACAGTCTAATGGAAGAGGCTAATCTGTAAATAAATACTTGCAATGCAATTTGCTAATAATTCTATTAAAAGTGGATACAGGGCAATATGGAGACAAAGGAGAGGGAAAAACTGATTCTGCCTGGAGATTTAGTAAAATATTAAAAAATAACACACACACCCACACCCCTCAGCTAAGCAAACTGCATGAACTTCTAGTCCTAGAACCCACCAATATATATATATATACATATACATATATATACACGTATACATACATATACACGTATACATATATATACATACACATACATATATATGTATACATATATATACACATACATATATATGTATACATATATATACACATACATATATATGTATACATATATATACACATACATATATGTATACATATATATGTATACATATATACACATACATATATGTATACATATATACACATACATATATACATATACATACATACACATACATATATATACGTATACATATATACACATATGCATATATATGTATACATACGTGTGTGTGTGTGTGTGTGTGTGTGTATATATATATATATATATATATAGATAAAACTTAGAGTCTGTGGTTGACACATTTTTTAGTTGTCTTCAGAGCTGTTTGCTATTATTCTCCGAAAAGTACTTCTGGCTCCCATTTCAGGCCATATTTACAACTCTCTGACCCTATCCCCTCAACATAGCACACTGGCCCTTGGGTAGAATGTGCCTCAAGCTGGGCCAATCCAACCTTGAGTGGTGAATATTGTGGTGTATTGGATCCATTATACCTACCAGCAGTTCAAACCTTACATTACTCTGGGTATGTAGCCAGGGGGTATACCCTCTTCTTTGAGAGTTTTCATGTTGGAGATTAGCAAATAGTCTTTAAAGCTGTACTGAGCAAAAAAATCACATCTTGGTGATAACCTTTGTTACATAAATCAGTGAACTCAATATAAAAATTTATAGGGCAAATCCTTACTGAATGCGTATTGTATGTTAATGACTGTTGAGCAATCAGTAAAGGATAAGCAAGGTATATGGTAGTCCCTTTCATCAAGGACAGGCATATAGAAAAATAATTAGAATAAATGGATAGATGCTAAACCGAGGGAGTGAAGCAGGTGACATGAGCAGAGAGAAGGTCTAGCTCTGCCGAGATTGTGACCCTCTTCCTTTACGCTACTCTGAGAATCACAGGCCTCCTGGACAAAGTCTCAAACCACGAAACATTTTTAAATAAAGATGTTTCTGTTTTTCCATCTCATCAAAGTATGGTTAAAAAAAAATCTGCTTAATGAAAGTTCAGGTTAAATTCTGTGGTCAAATTTATCGAAATCTTTGTGGGATTTTTTTTTCCCTTTTTCATTATGGGTTGCTAAGCAGAAGCAGAATGACTCTGGCCTGGTTTTTCAGTCTGGAATTCATGTCTCTGTGGGCTTCCAGACCTCAGTGACTGATCTCCAACATGAAAACTCTTGAAGGGGGTGACATCACCCATTGAGAGTTCCCAAATTAGGAAACTCAGAGATTCCAGGGAGCTCTTTCTGGTCTCTGTCCCTCCATTTGCCCTATTTTACTGGAATATGAGCCTCACTGAGGCAGCTGGGGTATGTGTGTTAGCAGCTAACAGGGGCAAAAGCTGGCACTGAAAGAAACTACTTCCAGAGAGGAGATCCTGTTTCTACCATTACCACTTTCCTAGGACTTATTCAGCACCCTGGCTCCAAGAAGATTTATGGGCTGCTTAAAATATTCATGTTTGCTTACTGCTGAGCATTGGAAATTTAAGGGTGAGAACTGGATTGTTAGCAGTCAGGGAGCTCTCTGTTCCAGGCCCATGGGCTCTGGACATCCCCTTAGATTTCGCTCTCCGTGCCTGCCCTCACAGCTTCCCCCAAGGCACACGCCACATATTTCCTCTTGGGCTTCACCTGAAGTTGCCAAAATTCAGTCAGAGTGCAATAGATTGAGAGAGTCAGAAAATAACCATATAACCTGTATAAGAACTCACATTTGTGAAGTTTATAGTTTACAAGGTATTTTCACATACATTAGCACCTGGCTCATTTATTCATTCATCCAATCATGCATTCAAGGAGAGACAGTGTGCAATTAGTGAAAGAGACCAAGATGACTGATGTAACTGGAGGGTAAGTAGTTGGAAATGAGACTGCAGATGTAGGCAGGGTCTTGTGTTTCTTGTTGACAGGCTTGGACTTTAAGGCAAGGGGATGCCATATAATAATTTTAAGTTTGGAACAGAACTGACCAAATTAGTCTTGGTGGTGGGTAGGGGGTGGTGAAATAGTGTAGGATGTCAAATAGGCAGTGCATTTAGGGGAAATGTAGAAGGCAGACTCATGTAGATATTGGTAATAAATAAGAAGGAAGTGGTGATGATGGATGGCAAAGAAGGTGGGATGGAAGAGTTTGGAGGAGACTCGAGTTTCTGGCTTGGGCATATAATTAAGTGGGTCACTGCATTAGCACATGCCCTTCTCTCCCTGTTATTTTGGCAATAATCCTCTAGCTGGTTTCCTTGACTTTGGTTTCTCCATCCTTCTCACTGAAGAAGCGATTATCTTTCCTAAACCAAAATCTGATCATAGGACCCTTCTGTATAAAGCCCTGGATTGACGCTCATTATGTGCAGAACCAAAAAGTCCAGACTCTCTAGCTATTGTCTTTTAGCTACCACTTCAATCTTGCCTTTGCCACAACCTCTGAAATCCTCCTTCATAACTCCAGCCACACTAAGCTGTTCAATGTTTCCCAGGCATGATCTGCATTCACTTCTTCTGTGCCTGTATACATGATGTTTACTCTACTCAGGAAGCTCTTCTAGTTATTTTTTTCCTGGTAATAGCTAGTGGTGCTCAAAGACTCATTTTAAATGCCACCTAGTCTGTAAAGACCTTCCTGCCTTCCCCTGGCATAGCAGCTCACCCTCTGTCTTCACTCTTTATTCTCTTTTTTTTCTTTGCAATTCTTTTAAAGTAAACTTCATATAATATCACATTACAGCTGATCCTTAAACAATACGAGTTTGAACTGCACAGGTCCACTTATATGCAGATTTTCTTTTGCCTCTGCCATCCCCGAGCCAGCAAGACCAAACCTTCCCCTTCTCCTCCTCCTCAGCTACACAATGTGAAAATGATAAGGATGAAGACCTTTATGATGATTCACATCCACTTAATGAATAACAAATACATTTTCTCTTTTTGTTATTTTTAATAACATTTTCTTTTCTCTAACTTACTTGATTGTAAGAATACAGTATATAATACATATAACATACAAAATAGGTGTTAATCGACTGCTGTTATTTCTAAGGCTTCTGGTCAGCAGTAAGCTATCAGCAGTTAAATTTTTGGAGAGCCAAAAATTAAATGTGGATTTTCAACTGTGGGTGGAGGTCAGTGTCCCTAACCCCCATGTTGTTCAAGGGTCAACTGTATTTTATTACTGTATCTGGATAAGTTTCTCACACCATCTCCTGAAGTTTGAAACTATTATTCTCACCATGACTTAAAGAAGGTGCTTCATAAAGTGTTCCGTGGGTTTTTTTTTTTTTTTGGTAAATTTCAGAGCTGTCCCCTTAAAATATTCTTTTCTGGAATTTCTCACTATCACCACTAAAAAGAGGGGAGGGAGGAGAAGGGGAAAAGCAGTAGCAGAGAAGAGAGAACAAAGCAAGATTTTCTCTTGGATAAACATCACATTGGATACAGGAAGCAAGTTTGAGAATTTAGAAAGAATTTTAAGGGTCTAGAGTGAACAGAGTTTCCTTATGAAAACACAAATGTTTCAAATGGAGATCCTGTAGCATGCCCAGAGTGATCAGAGAATTGACTTGTGAAGAGACTTATTCCTCAGGCCTATGAGAGGGTGGATTTTGAATCAAAAGAGTTTCTTCAGCTCAGTATTTCCATTTGAAGAAGTTGCTAGTTTAAAGGTTTCAATGTGTGTGTGCCCTTATGAGAGAGACAGAGATGGGGGGAAGTAAAGAAGAAAGGGGGGGGGGGAGAGAGAGAAGTGTGAATGAGCATATGATTTTTCCATTTTTTACAGATTTGCTTGTGAGCGCATTTGCAAATCTCTTTGCATGTGTTTGACTGCATATTGTTTCCATGTGTTCATGTGGGTGTGTTTGTTTATGAGGAGGTGAATTGTATAAAAATGTGTTGTTTTCTTGTGCATAAGTAGTTCAACAGAGTAATGTTTATATGTGCATGTAGGTAGTGTACTAGTATACATAATGTATATATGATAGTGTATATATGGAATATTGTGAATTTTGAAAGCATTATTTATAAACATTTATGGGTTTCTATCATTACATTAAATTTCAATGCATAGTAATCTCTCAATAAGAATTTACAAATGAACAACTGTTTTTAAGTAATAGATATCAAACCCACACAATAATACCTCCATATATCTTGTTCTGAATTTAAAATTGTAAAATTTGCAGAAAAGTATCATACACAAAAGTTGTAGAAGCTGAAGAAGGTGAAACAGAAGATGGTTTTCAATTGCTTCTTGATTATTTTGGGAAAGTTCAAGCAGGGCTGCCTGGAGAAACCAATTACTATTTTCCTAGATCTGCATCAGCGATCCCAGCTCATCTCTTCGCTGACTTCTGTACTTTTCAAATTAAACAGTGACAGAGAAGGACAGGAGGCTTATGTGAATCTGTATCAATGCCTAAAAGAAAGAGGATGGTGGTGTGGTGCAGAAAGTGGACTTTGGAGTCATTTAGAACTGGGTCTGAAATACAGTTCTGTCACTTACCATCTATGCAGCTTTGAGCCTGTTACTTCACCTCGTCAAGGCTTAGGTCCCTCATCAATTCAATGAGGTTAATAATACCTACCTTCCCTTTAAGGGTGGTTGTGAGAATCAGGTAAACTAATGCAAGTAAAATGACTTTTATTGAGTCTGGTAAAGAGGTAGAAGCTCAGCAAATATTAATGCCTTTATCAGAAATAGTGATTAAAATGTAAAATAGTGGTGCTGAAAAGAGAAAAGCCTGCTTTTTGTATCTCTTATGTCTGCTATGTAAGAAGACAGGTGTGGTGATTCTGAACTAGACTGGCCGGGGGTAACTAAGAAATACATTAAGCCAGTTGGCTGAGAATAATACTTTCAAGGGACTATATCCTTGTGAGTGAGAAAGCATGGAGAGGTACTTTAGTCAGATGTGCTCATCTTGCCACAGGTTCCCAGCCTTCTGCCTCTGTCCCAACATCAGGAGTCAGAACAGCCTGTGCCCCCTGCCCCTTTCAGGGCCCAAGGAAAAGGGGTTTGAGCAGAAGCATTGCACTGTGAACAGGCTGGTAGTGATTCTTATGAGAAAATAGGTTTTATAAGTTGGGAGGAACAAAAGCAAACTGGCTTAAGACAAAAAGGGATGTGAGTGAGCTACTGAGTATGGGATTCAGCTGGTGTCTTGGTTCCTAAACCTGGGCTGTGCTCACCCCTAACAGTTACCTGTAAAACAGAGGCAGTGTGAGCTCCAAATAGTGATCAAGGCCAGTACCATATTTAATCAATTTTCTCATTAATTACGTGAGGAGAATAAAGACTTAATTTCTAATTCATGTGTAGTTTAGAAGGGGGAATGCAATCCATATGGTTCTTATTCAATTACATTTATATCATCAAAATAGACTGTTTTTCTAAAGCTATATAATGGCCAAGAAATTCAATGAGCCTTTTAAACTAGCATTTTAAGCCTTATTTCTTAAAAACAGGAAGTCACATTTGACTTTGAGTAAGCCAGTTTCCTCTGGACAAATTTTAGAATTGGCTAAGTTTTGGACACCTGCAAATCCTAAATTGGTTTCAGTCAAATTTGGAGTTTGTTTCAATCATGTGGAAACCAGTTCCCTGAACTTCTAAGCAAACTTTCTCAAACCAGGAAAGTGACTATATTGCTCAACAATTGTTCTCTTTACCCAATAGCCTCCTCTTTTATAGAGTGATGTGTCTGAAAACAGCTCTGATACTTTCTTGGTGCTGCCTACCTACGGTGTGGTCTTGGACAAATTCCTGACAGGCAGTTATTTTAAATTCACCAGTCACTTGAATTATGGGTGTCTCAGGTTTTCAGTGCTCTGTTCTGTAACATGTTTTTCAGTTTGAAAATACAATGGCCTTGTGATTCTATAATCAGCACACAATTAAAAAATACTCCCTCTAGATGCTATTGTAAATCTGAGTTAAAAATTCTGTACTAGAACTTACAAGCTACTTGACCTTGGGAAAATTATTAAAACTCTGGGCCTCAATTTTATCATGTATAATAATGTGAGATAACATATATTATCACAGTATATGGTTCTAAGTAATCGCTTCATACGTGCATTTTTATTCTTTTGTTTTCTCTTCCCTCCTTCCTATTCCTCTTCACTTCCCTCCCTTTTTTATTCCTCTGATTCTTCTATTATATTTGTATCTTTTTCTAATAGTGGAAAGTTTTTATTGGCTTACATAATTACTTCTCAGGAGACTCACCTGTGTGATTTCATCTCCTCTTCTTAGTGAACTATTGGAGGAGTGAACAATTTCTTCTGTCTGATGCCCTCCAAGTTGCCTCATCAAGGATCCCCAAAATTGGGGTGGTTCCTGAGTCAATGCTGTGGCCATCCTGGCCTCAATGTTTTTGACAGCTATTTACGCTTACAGACAGCTAGATTCCATATAATGATGTGTACCTTTGTACTCCCTTGTGTTTTACCTTGTACGATTAAAGTGACCAAATTGTCTTAAATATAAAACATAGATTCATGGTGCTTATTTTTTCTTTGGCTGATTTTATATTCATTGGGGGAAAAGTCATACAAAAGGCCTTATATATTTCTAAATATACACTTCTAATAAAATTTAAATATTAAGAAAATCAAGAAATTCACAGTCAGAAATGGGACTAGTGAAGCAAGATGTACTCCCCTTCCATGAATACACTATAAATCATTTTGAGACTTTCTCTAGGCTATAAAATTTAGAGCTGCTGATGCCCGAACCATTGAAAGACGTGTTGGCCCTTACATAATGTGAGTCAAGACATTGTTCAGGAGCTAAATTTGCTAAAAACGTGTTTGCCTTTTAGCAGTTCTTATACTTATAGACCATAAAAACAGATTTCCATGGCACTTTCCTAGGAACCTGGTAACTTGTCTAGTTCAGAACCGGCATTTTAGACTCTTCATGTAGGCCTGTCTCGTAGTGCAACGCTTCTCAAATTTCAGTTTACATATAAATATTACTGGATCTTGTTAAAATATAGATTGATTCAGTAGGTTTGAGGTGGAGCCTACGATTCTGGATTTCTAACAAGGTCCAAAGTAAGATTGCTGTTCCATAGAAGACACTTTCAGTAACAAGTGTTTAGCACTTGGATCAACATAAATCTCAAACCACATACTCCACAAGTGTGACCTTGAGTTTCATGACACGATGGGCCTTAGTACCTCTCTCCATAGGTTTGAGAGGTCATGGCCTCTAGAATTTGTTGAGACTCTGTAAGATCATTAGCTGCCAAGGAAGCCTTTTCTTTGAACTTAAGTATATTTCTCCCTGGCCTTTGTTCATGTAAGTTAAGAGAGAGAGCAGACAGAATGTACACATATACTTGGGACGTGGATAAAGGTCATGGCTGCCAAAGTGTTGCCACCTTTTCCTCCACATTTCTGTTGAGCCAGGATGGCACAGCTGAGGGCTCCTTGGCTTATTCAGGGGTGATGAGGTCAGAGTTTGTATGATATATGAGGTCACCATCTGCCCAGCAGTGCTTATACACATATCCTGTAAAGATTGTCTTTTTATTCAAGAAATGTTAGTCGGCCTGAAGACAGTAATATAGAAGGAGATATGGCTCCCCAGCATGCTAGTAATATAGAAGGAGATATGGCTCCCCACATACAAAGCTATGTGACTTTGGTCAAGGAACTTTACATCTCTCTGCTTCAGTATTCTTAGCTGTAAAATGGGTAATAGCAATTTTCAGGGTTGTTGTGAGAATTAGAGATACCTTTAAAGTGCCTGCCAGAATAAATGGTAGATACTACTATTGGTCTTGATTATTTTTATCATTAAGTGCACTTTACTATAATTGTTTAGGGCAACTGAAAACAATGGGTAAAGCTGATTTATTATTCAGAATAGTTCACTGTGCAGATTTGGCCAGAGTGAAGGTAATTAGTGAATTCTGGTATTTGAGACTTAATTTATTGCATCAACACTCTCAGTACAATTGCATTTAGGCTTATTCAGTATAATATATTAACCAGAGATTTTAGAAGGCATTTGAAAAATAGCTGATACAATCATGAGTTTTATAATTAGTGAATATGCATCTTACCCACTACAGCAAGGTAAGAGTTGTTAAAGGCTATTTAATGTGCACTTTACCCCCTTTCCAACACATGCCGAAAAATAGGGAATAAGCAAAACTCTGAAGCAGTCGACATAATGTTTTCTAATAATGAAAAGAAGCATTGCATAGTCAGCTAAGTGTCTGCCCCATTAACTCAGTCTTACTTATTTTCTCCAAAAGTCCTCTGAGGCAAGAGGGACGTCCTAGTGCTTTCCTCAGCTCTTTTTACTAGGTCATATTACATAGACTTAACTTTGTCATCTATGTTACCTGCTTGCTTCACTTTCTTGCTTCCTCATAACTTTCTTCTCTTTCTTCAATGCAGGAGTACAGTGAATGCTCCCTCATTAATCCATGCCTGAGTGAAGGCCCCTGGGTTCACTTAAAGAGAGTAAGAGGTAGTAAATAAACTAAGTGGAGTGGGCATTAAATCACTCGGTGCCTAGAAGCAGCAGATGCACTAGCAGACTGGACTGGGAAAGGGCCCGTATACTTATATCCACGAAACAACTCAATCCTATGTACGCTGTGTGAATGACAATTGTAGTCAGGGAATGGCTTTCCTACTCCCAGCCTCCTCCTCTCTTCCTTCTGTATTTTAACGAGCACAGTGAAATTTCTGAGAAGTAAGCATGCTATTTCATGCCCTGCGCTTACTCAATGTTCTTTTGTAATCTTCTAAGTTTTTTCTCATTTTTTTTCCCAAGCGTAATTTTATTTAGGGAGCCTTCTTTATTTATTCAGTTCAACAAAACAAAGAAGGAGAAGTGCTGTAAAAATGGCTTTTTGTGTTCTAGTTTTAGGAGTTATCCAATCACTTAAACTACAACATGAAGTTTTACAGACTCATTACTCATCCTCACTTGTCTGTGTATGCACCTTTGCACACAAACAAGTCAATTTATGCAAAAGTGCAGAAATGCCTTCTGTGCTTTTTTTATATACTCTAATTGAGACACCAAGAGTGAGGATGCATGTGATACACCATTGTAATAGAGGATTCTTAGAATTCTGAGACTATGCTATCTCCAAGTTGAGAGAGTTCTCAAAGACAATCTTTTCAAATGATTCATCTGATGCTTGACGTTTCTGTACAATTTCCTTATCCTTATCAGCCAGAGTTTGATTCCCTCAATTTTCAGGAAACTTCTTACCTCCCTAAGCTGTCTGCTGCATCTTTGATTGCATTTCTTCACTTGAATTATGTATTGCACTTGCAGCTGTATGTCATAGCTGCCTGTACCTGCAGCAGGTGACCTATCTGTAATAGGCATAGTTGATAGCAGGTCAAGGTTCTACCTCTGAGAGTCTGGGCACCACGAGCAGATTGTACATTGGGTAATCAGCCATGCCTATGCAGGGAGCCTTTTTGGGATGTTTGTGCCCAGTGTGTGGAGTGGTGGCTCTGAAGACTGCCAAGGCCAGTGGGATTTCTCTCAGCTTCCTGGGAGACTCCTACCTGCACACTTCGAACGGTTCCCTGCTCACCTGCTGCACTCTGTCAACAAGCAAGGAAAATTTTAGGGCAGAAGCCCAGGATGCAACCAGGCTCTAGAAACCCTCTCACTGGGTCTTGGGGTGAACTCATGCTCACAAATGGGCTGTCTGCCAAGCATTAACTAAAATACTCACACTTGTTTTTGACAACAGTCCTCAGGTTAAATTTCAGCAAGTGCTATTTTGGGTAAGACGCTATGGTAGAAATGTCTCCAGATTCCAAGTGGCTGTAATGCCTCTGCAAAGCCACCTTTCAGCATGTCCCATTTGCTGTGCTTTCAAGTACTCAGCTATGTTGGTGCCTTTACAAGATTCAGCCCCAAAGGTGAGTGGGGAAGCCTGGAAAGGGGCTTCTGAGTTAAAGCCTTTGGGACAGGCTACTCTAGGAATCTCCCTGCCTGAAAGCAACATCAAGGGGTGGCTTCCAAGTGCCTGTCTGTGATGATGGATGAGTTTGGCCCTGCAGCCTAGGGAACAGATAGGAGTCAGCAGAACACAGATGTTGCAAGGCAGCCAAATTAATCTTTAATGGGAATGTACAAGTCGGGTTCTTATTAGAATATCTAATAGCCTAACCTCATTGCAAATCAAGAGCTAACCTTACAGAATAGATTTACAGAAAAATCTCCAGGTCTTGCTAAATATGGGACAACAACTGATTCATCTTGTGAGGCTTTCTTGAAAATCTTTCAACCGTTAAGGAAAGATATCACAGCCAAGAAGAGCATGGTCTAAAATGCACACTTTCTGCAGTACTTCGGGGGAGTTGAAGCTCAGGGTGGCAGACATCTGAGTGAATCAGACTGATCACTGATCAGACTGAATCAAGTACATGTATATGTAGTACAGGACAAAGCAAGAATCAAATTCTATGGCAGTCCTTGGGTAAGAAATATCCTCTTCTGCAAAAATGTCTCCAGAGAAATATACATTTCATTGGTCAGGGAACTGAATCTATGATTTCTTTCCATTAAGAAAGGCTATATGTTAACTGACCTATATTAGCTAGTTGGCTGTGTAAAAATATGTGGAAAGAGTTATCAGTATCAGAGACCAAATGCATCTTGGGTATCTCTTATCCTACCAAATTAGAAAGGTAGTGATATCTTGACCTTCTTTCTAGAATTTATTTCTGGAATTATGTTTCTTTCAGGGAATTCATTTTGCATTCCAAGGATACTATGGAGAAGTGGAGATTCTGGTGAATCAAGCCCCTTTCTCAGTAGAATTTCTGAATAAAGAAGAAAAGAAAATTGAGGGAAGAAATCTTGACCATAAATGGGATCAGAAAAATGTCTATAAAATTTTATAACAATATATATATGATGACTACACTAGATACCTGGCAAGTCTAACAGAAATTAAGGTTGAACTTCTTCTGATCCAATAGTATGTAAGCTTATGAAAAGCACTGATCATGCATTAAATCAAGACCATCTAGTAGGTCTTCAGCAATCATTCATATGCAAGCCATTTAGAGACAAGAAGCAATGTGCATAATACCAAATGCATAAGATTTGGAGAAAGACAGGCCTGGTTTGCAGCTTTTGACAGTTTTTTATGAAATAAGGTGATATGGTTGGGCTTTGTGTTCCCACTCAAATCTCATCTTGAATTGTAGCCCCCATAATCCCCATGTGTCAAGGGAGAGACCAGGTGGAGGTAATTAAATCATGGGGGTTGTTTCCCCCATGCTGTTCTTGTGATAGTGAGTGAGTTCTCATGAGATCTGTTGGGTTTAAGGGGCTCTTCCTACTTCGCTCAGCATTTCTCCTTCCTGCCACCATGTGAAGAAGGTGCCTTGCTTCCTCTTTGCCTTCCGCCATGATTGTAAGTTCCTGAGGCCTCCCCAGCCATCTGAACTGTGAGTCAATTAAACCTCTTTCCTTATAAATTACCCAGTTTGGGGCAATTCTTAAAACAGTGTAAAAATGGACTAATACATAAGGATAAAAATGCCTTTCTTGCAAGACCACTGGGAAAATTTTTGAAGTAAGCTTACTCTTCTCAAGTGTAATGATGGATAATTATACTAATGGTTGCCTCTCTAGCTCATTATGATGGGGAAAAGTTTAGAATGGAGGAAAATTCTGAGAAAGCATCAGGGCTTGTGTGGTAATCTAAACTTTCATTCCTCTCTTCTGAGAAAGAGGAGATAGAAGTGCCATCCACACTGGGAAATCTGATTGAGACTTTGATCCATCTCTTCTGGAGATGAGCTATCCCTGTCTGATGTAGCCATTTCTTGGACTCCAACAAATACAGTCAAAATGAACACTATCTATAAGAAAAATAAAAAGAATAAAACAAATTGATATAATTAACATACAAATACTTTAAATATCTATTATAAATGGTCTCATGGCTTTAAAGGAAAACTTTGATCATAAATAGAAAACAAATAAGAATATCAGTAGGAAAATGGAGAGTTAAGAAAAGGAACAAAATGGAAATTTTAGAACTGGTAATCACAATATGAAAAACATGCTAAATGGGCTTACTATCAGATTAGATATTATAGAAGATTATGTTATTGAATTCAAAGTCACTACAATGGAAACTATGCAAACTGAAGCATATAGGAAAAAAATGGCTGACAAAAAATGGACAATGAACAGAGATTTAGTGACTTGTGGGCAAAATAAGACAGTTTAACATATCTGTAGAAAACCAGAACAAGATGAGAGAAATACTGACACAGGAAAATATATTTTAAAAAGTAACAGTTGAATATTTTTCAGATTTGATGAAAATAACCCACAGATTCAAGAAGTTCAATGAATTCTAAGCAGTATAAACAGAGGCATAACGATAGAAGCAATAATATAATTGCTGAAAACTAATGATAAAGATAAAATCGTAAAAGTGGATAGAGAAAAAGATACATATAACAGAACCACAAGATTTGCTAATAACTTCTCATCAGAAATGACAGAAGCCAGAAGATGATAGCATAAGATCTTTAAATTGCTAGAAAAAAGAGTCAACCCAGATTCTTTTCCAGTTGCAGTGAAAATATTCTCCAAAATGAAGGTGAAATGAAGACTTTTTGGTCAAACAGAGTGAAACAGAGTGAAAATATTCTCCAAAATGAAGGTGAAATTTTTTGGTCAAACAGAGTCAAACAGGGTGAAAAAAAGTCTTTTCCAGAAGACCTGCATTATTGGAATTACTAATGGAAGTTCCTCAGGGTGAAGAAAAATGATACCAAATGGAAATTCAGATCTAGAAAGTACTGAGAATAGCAAATATGTGGGAAAATATAAGAGACAGATTTTTCTTCATTTCCTAATTTCTCAAAACATTATTGTCTGGTTAAAACAAAAACAATAATAATGTACTACAACAGGAGTTAAAACATTTAAAAGTAAAATTTTTAATAAGAATAGCAAAGGGAATGGGAGAAGGGTAATTATGGAATACTCTTTTAGGGTTCTCACATTATATATGAGGTGATGTAATATTAATTGACAGACTGTGGTAGATTCAAAACCCAAGAGAAATCACTTAAGAAATAAAACAGAAAAGTATGCCAGGTATCCAGTACAAGAGATACTAAATACTGAAATACCCAATCTGTAGAAGGTTGAAAAGGAGAGAAAAGGAACAACAGCAGTAACAGCAAATAAATGCCATAAATAGAAAACAAAGGGCAAGATGACAGACTAAATTAACTGTATTGATAACTGTATTACAAAGTAAAATGAAATATATGCTATTTGTAAGCAACATACTTTCAGTATGACATAGTTTGAAATTAACACAATGGAAAAAGAGGTATCATGTAATCAATACACATAAGAAAACTGGCTTGGCTATATCAATAACATGCAAAATAGACTTAACAATGAAAGGATCAATTCATCATGCAAAGTAGACTTAATAAAAAAAGGATCAATTCATCAGGAAAAAAATACAGTTCAACACAATTCGCTGTAATTCCTGGTTGATTTTAGTCTATTATATTAATTTAATATAAAGACATATTAAGCCATAATAAAAGAGTAACTATAAGATGTACAGAATAAGATACACAAGGAATGCTAAATCATACCCTGGGGCTAAGGGAGACTTCCTAAATAAGACAAACTTTGAATGGGGGATAGCTCCCAAAGGCCAGCATTCAGATCTCATTGGAGAAGGTGGGATTGCAGATCACTGAGTGGCAGAGAAGCTTCCTGTGTTCCCAGGCCATTGTTAGAACAATTGGATGTCCACACATAAAGCCATGAACCTAGACCCTTACCCTATACTCTCTATATATGTATGTGTGTATATATATATACTTATATATATAATAATATATATTTATATATGTAATAATATATAATATATTTATATGTATTTGTATATGTAATAATATATATATAATAAAATATGTAATAATATATAATATATTTATATATAAATATATTATATTATATATATATTATTATATTTATAATATAATATATATTTATATTATATATTATAAATATATATTATATAATATATATTATAAATATATATTATATAATATATATTATAAATATATATTATATTATATATTATAAATATATATTATATAATATATATTATAAATATATATTATATAATATATATTATAAATATATATTATATTTATAATATATATTTTTGTATATTATATATTATATATTATAAATATTATTATATTTATAATATATTATATATTTTATATATAATATATGATATATATTATAAATATATCTTATAAATATATATATTTATATATATATATTATAAATATATAAATATAAATATATAATATAATATAATATAATATAATAAATATAATATATAATATATATAATATATAATAAATATAATAAATATAAATATATCATATAAATATAAATATAAATATAAATATATCATATAAATATATATATTTATATGATATATTATAGTATATATAAATATATTTATATATTATAAAATATTTATATAATATATAATTATAATATATTTATATATATAAATTAACTAATATATATAAACTAATATAATATATAATGTAATAATATAGTATTATATATTATAATATATTTATATATATAAATTAACTAAAAATGTATCACTGACCTAAATGTAATAACTAAAACCATAACACTTCTAGAAGAGAAAATGATAAAATCTTTGTGACCTTGGGTTAAGATTTCTCACACTGTATACCAAAGCACTAGCCATAAAATAAAATAACGATGAATTGGGTTTTATCAAAATTCAAAACTTTTGTGCTCCAAAATATAATTATGAATAAAATGAAAAGGCTAGCCAAAGAGAGGGGGAAAATATTTACAAACATAATACTAAAAATCAGCTTGTATCCAGAATATGTAAAGAATTCTTACAGCTCAATAGTAAAACAAACAACCCAGTTGAGATATGGGCAAGAGATTTAATGGTCACTTATAGCAGAAGATAGATGAATGGCAAATAAGTATGTGTAAAGATGCTTATTATCATTAATCATTAGAGACATGCTACATGCTATACTATATTAAAGACATATGATACACTACATCTCCACTATAATGGCTAAAGCTAACAAGACAAGCAATACCAAATGTTGGTGAGGATATGGTGGAACAGCTTGAATGCTCATATATTTCTGGTGGGATTATAATATGGTACAGTCACTTTGGAAAACAATTTTATAGTTTGTTATAGAATTAAACATTCACTTATCATATGAACCATCAGTCTCACTCTTAAGTATTTACCCCAGAGAAAATAAAAATATATGTTCATAGAAAACCTTGTAACACTCAAGATTTGTGCCTTTTTCTGCGTGAATGATACATTAAATTTTAAAAAATGAAAGTCAGAAAATGTATTTTTAAAACTATTACTATGACATCACAAATAATTGCCTGATAGTACAAAACAATTGTAGAAGAATGTATGTGATACATTTATATAATGTACAGTGTGGAGAACCAGTCTGACTCCTGAAGCAAAGGTTAATAAGGCAGTTGGGTTTGATTCTATTCTCAGGCTGACTGAAGAAGAAACAGGGTTCTTGGAGACATTAGTCTACCTTCTCACTTAAAGTGTTGGGCCTGTGACCCTGAATTCACAGTTTGGCCATGGTAGGTAGTAGAAGGAAGTCCACAAATACATGTCTTTAGTGAATGAAAGACACAGCCTAACAGATTCCGAGAACTGAGAAATTTTTTAGGTGAGAAGCAAGAATGACAGGGTCAATAGGCGTGTCAGAATAAAGAAAACTCTTTATAAAAAACAAAAATGCCCAGCCTTAATGTCTGAGTCACTGGAAATGCTAAATATTATACAGAATTCCCTTCACAATGCCAGTTTAATTGGGCCATAGTCAGACAGCCATAGATGTTTTAAAATATAAAACAAATTTCCTAGCAATCCATTTGCAGCACATTTTTGTTGCACATATTGTTGCTTGGCTTACTACTTTATGTTTCAGTCAAATCTGGAAGATTGAATCTGTTATAGGCATTGGAACTTTCTTTTCCCTCAGAATCTCTGCTTTCTCTGACCAGGATTGGGGCTTCCAAATCTTCCCAGCAGCCACAAGAAGCCACTAAACACAGATCCTGATGGGAAAGGCTCTGAGGAATGTGGAACCTGGTATAGTGCTTAAGGATGATATCTCCAGGAGTGTAGCAGAAACAATCAATAATAATACTGGAGCTTAGTCTCTTGGGGAATTTGCATTTGATTTAAAAACAGTCACTGTGTGAATATTCTGATTTTTCCAAGAAGAATGTGGGTGCAAGATAAAGTATAGAAGGAGATGGCATGACCTGAGTTTCCTATTTTTATGGCTTTTATGAAATCAAGCCTGAAGCTGCACCAGGCAGGACAGCCAAAACTGGTAAGAAAACTGTAGCCTTATTGGTTTGAATAACCAGAGAAGAGAATTTGGAGCAACCACAGTTGCTGGAAAATGAGGGGAGAAATTTTGGAAAGGAGCAATCCAAAGAGAGAGTATCCCTAATTCTCTGAATAACTTTTGGCCTAACTTCTGACTGACTCCTGAACTATGCATTTGAGGGCAGATTCCAAGCAGCCCAGTAAATAACTGAACTAAAATTATTTAAGCCAGCACTCACCATAGGGATACAAAGTTTTCAGTATGGATTTACCCAAATTAAGTGCCTGTTAAAACAAATGCAGACACATGATTAGTACTCTTCAGAGGAATATAATAGAATCCAGAATGTCTACAACTTATTTTTCATAATATCCATGATGTAATTCAAAATTGGCGGACATACAAAGTATAATAAATAAATAAATAAATAAATAAATAAATAAATAAATAAAAAAGAAGTTACTGAAAAAAAATAAGATAAAATAAAATAAAATACTCTAAAAAAAAAAAAAAAAAAGAAATAGGAAATCCTGACTAGTTCCTAAAGTGAAAGGCAGTTTGTAACCATTCCTGAGATGACCCAGATGTTGGAATTAGTAGACAATATTTTAAAGCAACTATCTTAAGCAATTATGCTTAAGAATGTAAATGAAAATGTTCTTACAATGAATTAATGACAAAAAGATCTTAGCAGAGAAGTAAAAGGAGCAAGTAGAACTGAACTGAATAATGCAATACTTGCATCATGAAAAATCTACTTGATGGTTTTAACAATAGAAAAAAGATAATGGAAGAGTTAGTGAACTTGAAGATAAATTATTTAATCAACAGAACAGAGAGAAAAATTTGGGGCAGGGGAAATAATAGACCTAATGAATAATGTCAATAAGTCTAGTATACATGTATTTGAGTCCGAGATGGATAGAAGAGAGGCAAGCAAGTAGAAAATATATTTGAAGAAATAGGGACATTGGGCCAGGCACAGTGGTTCATGCCTGTAATCCCAGCATTTTGAGAGGCCGAGGTGGGTGGATCAACTGAAGCCAGGAGTTCGAAACCAGCCTGAACAACATGGCGAAACCCCACCTCTACTAAAAATACAAAAATTAGTTGGGTGTGGTGGTGCTTGCCTGTAATCCCAACTACTTGGGAGACTGAGGCAGGAGAGGAAGCCCTATAAGCCAGAAGAGAGTGGGGGCCAATATTCGACATTCTTAAAGAAAAGAATTTTCAACCCAGAGTTTCATATCCAGCCAAACTAAGCTTCATAAGGGAAGGAGAAATAAAATCCTTTACAGAGAAGCAAATGCTGAGGGATTTTGTCACCACCAGGCCTGCCTTACAAGAGCTCCTATAGGAAGAACTAAATGTGGAAAGGAAAAACCAGTACCAGCCACTGCAAAAACATACCAAAATATAAAGACCATTGACGGTATGAAGAAACTGCATCAACTAATATGCAAAATAACCAGCTAGCATCATGATGACAGGATCAAATTCACACATAACAATATTAACCTTAAATGTAAATGGGCTAAATGCCCCAATTAAAAGACACAGACCGGCAAATTGGATAAAGAGTCAAGACCTATTGCTGTGCTATATTCAGGAGACCCATCTCAGGTGCAAAGACACATATAGGCTCAAAACAAAGGGATGGAGAAATACTTACCAAACAAATGGAAAGCAAAAAGAAGCAGGGTTGCAATCCTAGTCTCCAATAAAACATACTTTAAACCACCAAAGATCAAAAAAGACAAAGAAGGGTATTACATAATCATAAAAGGGTCAATGCAACAAGAAGACCTAACTATTTTAAATATATATGCACCCAATACAGAAGCATCCAGATTCATAAAGCAAGTTCTTAGAGATCTACAAAAAGACTTAGACTCCCAATAATAATAATGGGAGACTTTAACACCCCACTGTCAATACTAGACAGATCAACAAGACAGAAAATTAACAAGGATATTCATGACTTGAACTCAGCTCTGGAAGAAGTGGACCTAATAGACATCTACAGAACTCTCCACCCCAAATCAACAGAATATACATTCTTCTCAGCACCACATCGCACTTATTCTAAAATTCACCACACAATTGGAAGTAAAACACTCTTCAGCAAATGCTAAAGAATGGAAATCATAACAAACAGTCTGTCAGACCATAGTGCAATCAAATTAGAACTCAGGATTAAGAAACGCACTCAAAACCGTCCAACTACATGGAAACTGAACAACCTGTTGCTGAATGACTGCTGAGTGAATAACCAAATTAAGGCAGAAATAAATAAGTTCTTCAAAACCAATGAGAACAAAGACACAACCTACCAGAATCTCTAGGACACAGCTAAAGCAGTGTTTAGAGGGAAACTGAATGCCCACATCAGAAAGCAGGAAAGATCTAAAATCAACACCTTAACATCACAATTAAAAGAACTAGAGAAGCAAGAGCAAACAAATTCAAAAGCTAGCAGAAGGCAAGAAGTAACTAAGATCAGAGCAGAACTGAAAGAGATAGACACAAAAAACCGTTCAAAAAATCAGTGAATCCAGCAGCTGGTTTTTTGAAAAGATTAACAAAATAGATAGTCGGCTAGCCAGACTAATAAAGAAGAAAAGAGAGAAGAATCAAATAAATACAATAAAAAATGATAAAGGGGATATCACTGCTGATCCCACAGAAATACAAACTACCATCAGAGAATACTATAAATACCTCTATGCAAATAAACTAGAAAATCTAGAAGAAATGCATAAATTCCTGGACGCAAACACCCTCCCAAGACTAAACCAGGAAGAAATCGAATCCCTCAATAAAGCAATAACAACTTCTGAAATTGAGGCGGTAATTAATGGCCTACCAACCAATAAAAGCCCAGGACCAGATGGATTCACAGTCGAATTCTACCACAGGTAAAAAGAGGAGCTGGTAGCATTCCTTCTGAAACTATTCCAAACAATAGAAGAAAAGGGACTTCTCCCTAACTCATTTTATGAGGCCAGCATCATCTTGATATCAAAACCTGGCAGAGACACAAGAAAAAAAGAAAATTTCAGGCCAATACCCAGGATGAACATTCATGCAAAAATCCTCAATAAAATACTGGCAAACCGAGTCCAGGAACACATCAAAAAGCTTATCCACCACAATCAAGCTGGCTTCATCTCTGGGATGCAAGGCTGGTTCAACATATGCAAATCAATAAAGGTAATCCCTCCCATGAACATAACCAATGACAAAAACCACATGATTGTCTTAATAGATGCAGAAAAGACCTTTGATAAAATTCAACACCGCTTCATGCCAAAAACTCTCAATAAACTAGGTTTTGATGGAACATATCTCAAAATAATAAGAGCTGTTTATAACAAACCCACAGCCAATACCATACTGAATGGGCAAAAGCTGGAAGTATTCCTTTTGAAAACTGGCACAAGACAAGGATGTCCTCTCTCACCACTCCTATTCAACGTAGTGTTGGAAGTTCTGGCCAGGGCAATCAGGCAAGAGAAAGAAATAAAGGGTATTCAAATAGAAAGAGAGGAAGTCAAATTGTCTCTGTTTTCAGATGACATGATTGTATATTTTGAAAACTCCATCATCTCAGCCCAAAATCTCCTTAAGCTGATAAGCAACTTCAGCAAAGTCTCAGGGTACAAAATCAATGTGCAAAACTCACAAGCATTCCTATACACCAATAACAGACAAACTGAGAGCCAAATCATGAGTGAACTCCCATTCACAATTGCTACAAAAAGAATAAAATACCTAGCAATAAAACTTACAAGGGATGTGAAGGACTTCTTCAAGAAGAACTACAAACCACTGCTCAAGGAAACAAGAGAGGACACAAACAAATGAAAAACATTCCATGCTCGTGGATAGGAAGAATCAATATTGTGAAAATGGGCATACTATCCAAAGTAATGTATAGATACAATGCTATCCCCATCAAGCCGTTGTTGATTTTCTTCACAGAATTAGAAAAAACTACTTTAAATTTCATATGGAAACAAAAAAAGAGCCCATATAGTCAAGACAATCCTAAGCAAAAAGAACAAAGCTGGAGGCATCATGCTACCTGACTTCAAACTATACTACAAGGCTACAGTAACCAAAACATCATGGTACTGATGCCAAAACAGATATGCAGACCAATGGAACATAACAGAGGCCTCAGAAATAACACTACACATCTACAACCATCTGATCTTTGACAACCCTGACAAAAACAGCAATGGGGAAAGGATTCCCTATTTAATAAATGGTGCTGGGAAAACTGGCTAGCCATATGTAGAAAACCGAAACTGGACCCCTTCCTTAAACCTTACACAAAAATTAACTCAAGATGGATTCAAGACTTAAATGTAAGACCGAAAATCATAAAAACCCTAGAAGAAAACCTAGGCAGTACCATTCAGGACATAGGCATGGGCAAAGACTTCATGACTAAAACACCAAAAGCAATGGCAACACAAGCCAAAATTGACAAATGGGATCTAATTAAACTAAAGAGCTTCTGCACAGCAAAAAAAAAAAAAAAAAAAAAAAAAAAAAAAAAAAAACCTATTGTCAGAGTGAATAGGCAACCTATAGAATGGGAGAAAATTTTTTCAATCTATCCATCTGACAAAGGTCTAATATCCAGAATCTACAAGGAACTTAGACAAATTTACAAGAAAAAAACAAACAGCCCCATCAAAAAGTGGGCTAAGGGTATGAACAGACACTTCTCAAAAGAAGACATTTATGCAGCCAACAAACATATGTAAAAAAGCTCTTTATCACTGGTCATTATAGAAATGCAAATCAAAACCAGAATGAGATACCATCTCATGCCAGTTAGAGTGGCAATCATTCAAGTCAGGAAACAACAGATCCTGGAGAGGATGTGGAGAAATAGGAATGCTTTTACACTGTTGGTGGGAGTATAAATTAGTTCAACCATTTTGGAAGATAGTATGGTGATTCCTCAAGAATCTAGAACCAGAAATACCGTTTGACCCAGCAATCCCATTACTAGGTATATACCCAAGGGATTATAAATCATTCTACTTATAAAGACACATGCACAGATATGTTTACTGCAGCACTATTTACAATTGCAAAGACTTGGAACCAACCCAAATGCCCATCAATGATACAGTGGATAAAGAAAATGTGGCACATGTACACCATGGAATACTATGCAGCCATAAAAAGGAATGAGTTCATGTCCTTTAAAAAGACATGGAAAAGGCTGGAAACCATCATTCTCTGCAAACTAACACAGGAAGAGAAAACCAAACACCACATGTTGTCACTCATAAGTGGGAGTTGAAAAATGAGAGCACATGGACACAGGGAGGGGAACATCACACACTGGGGCCTGTCGGGGAATGGGGGGCAAGGGGAGGGATAGCATTAGGACAAATACCTAATGCATGCTGGGCTTGAAACCTGAATGACCGGTTGATGAGTGCAGCAAACCACCATGGCACATGTATAACCTATGTAACAAAACTGCACATTCTGCACATGTATCGCAGAACTTAAAGTATAATAAAAAATAAAATAAATAAATTACATAAAATAAAAGTTACTTATTCCACCAAACCTCATGTTGTTCTAACTTCTAAACAATTGCTATTATTAATATTGATTTTAATAATACATATTTCACTTTCAAATTAGCACCTTTTAAAAACTTACCGTTTAATAAATATTCTGTCTTATAAAGGAGTTAATGTGGAGTACTTCAGTTAAATACTTGACCATGACAGGTATATAAATTCATCCTAAGAGTAAATTTATAAATTTTGGAATAATTAGAGTGCATTTTGTATACAGTTTTGTCTACAACTCCTAAAAGCTATATATTCCTGTACTTAAACTGTAATTCAAAATAATAAATGATAACACTGTTATTGTAAAGATAAAGAAACAGAACTTGAGTTTTTCAATTTTGTCATTTGGTATGACCACATGGAGTTACTGTGTTTAAATTTTAAACAACAAAACAGAGTGAACCTGTGAGGTGTAATATTTGTTTGGGGAAAGTAAATAGTTCATATGCGAAACTTTTATATGATTTCGAAAAATAATTTTTTAAGGAACTAAATCATGTCCTTTGCACCAACACAGTTGCAGCTGGAGCCATCCTCCTAAGTGAGTTATCACAGAAACAGGAAACCAAATACTGCATGTTCTCACTTGTAAGTGGGAGCTAAACACTGGGTACACACGGATACAAATATGGAAACAATAAATCCTGGGGACTCCAAAAACAAAGAGGGAGAGAGGACAGAAGGGTTGAAAAATTACCTATCCGGTATTCTGTTCACTGCTTAGGTGATGGGATCATTAGAAGCCCAAATCTCAGCATCACACAATATACCCATGTAACAAACTTGCACAAAACTAAACTAAAACTAAAATAAAATAAATAAAATATTTTAAAATTGACATGTATCCCCCTTTACATTGTTATCTATTTATCTTTAGGTTAAAGAAGAAATGCAGATGTATAAAATTACTTCAGTCATACAATTTAGTCATAGTATAAATTGTTCCCTTTGCAGACATTTTTGTTGTATTAAAATTCACTTAGTTATTAGACAATTATTTACATAACACATTTTCCATAGAATTTTAATATAAGCATCAAAGCTAAAACTGCTAGGTTAATATAAAAGCTGCTGAATTGTGCACTTTCGTCCTACAGGAACTTGGAAGACCTTTCAGTCATTTAGAATATTGTTCCAAAATTGGAAACTGTTTAATAAATTTGTTGAATTTTATAAAGAAATTTGGAGTAAAAAACCCCACACATACATAAAAGGGCAATGACCCAGTGGGGCTCAACAGAGAATTGTTTTTTAAAAAAGCAAAAGGATCACGCCTGTAATCCCAGCACTTTGGGAGGCCGAGGCAGGTGGATCACGAGGTCAGGAGATCGAGACCATCCTAGCTAACACGGTGAAACCCCGTCTCTACTAAAACTACAAAAAAATTAGCCGAGCGTGGTGGTGCCCGCCTCTAGTCCCAGCTACTCGAGAGGCTGAGGCAGGAGAATGGCGTGAACCCAGGAGGCGGAGCTTGCAGTGAGCAGAGATCGCGCCACTGCACTCCAGCCTGGGTGACAGAGCGAGACTCCGTCTCACACACACACACACACACACACACACACACACACACAAAACGCAAAAGGAGAGCCAATTGAAGCAATGTCTGTAACTAGTCTGAAATAGATAACTCCTTCAGCATTTCATATAGTTTATGAACGTTTTAAATAAATCCAAGTTGGTATATCTAAAGCATGGATAATAGAAACACCCAGGATTCAGATGATACTGGTATAAAAGATAGCAATGAATTATCTTCTACAAGCATTGACAAGGAAGAGAAAGGAATGCTAGCAAATACTATCACGGAGGATTTTTTTAAATTGAGAAGAAAATGGCATTAATAAAGCCAAGACACTGATGAAGAAGAGACAGTGAATGACATTTTAATCTAATTTGATGTTAGTGATGACCAATGCCGTTTCCAGATGGTAGGAGTTAATCTGATTAAGAGAGGAAGTGAACCTATTCCGAATACATATGGACTCTTCTCTGCAGCTCAAAGACAAGGAAAAAAGAGCAAAGGAAGCACCAAAGAAATGAAAACTTCATGATTTTAGAAATCCTTACCAAACAGTGAAAAAAACATGGCAATATTTTCAAGGTTGAAATAATTATTTTGTTTTCGCAGGCTATAGATACTGGAACAAAAAAATGAACATTCAACTTTATAACTGGCTCTAAACCTGAAAATTAAATCCTAAGGTCTGTGTGATATCTCAATAACGTCTCCCCTACTTTTCTAACCCTTGTTGTTATTATTTTATTTCAAGACTGTTACTGAAAATAATTTTGTCATACAAAGGAGAGAGTGTTAAAAAGGATTTGCTCCAGGTATCAAATATGCTAGGTATGCCATTGTTAGACAAAATAATAAAATCAATAATTTTTCTAAAGTGACCCTTTTTATGCTACAGAAATACCTGAGTGACTTGTTGAAGGCATTCTATCTTTTGATGATTCTCTTTACTTAGATTTCCAAAAATCTACAGATAAGCAACAAATAGTAAACATATATAAAAACACTTATCTTTAACACTAATTATAGTGATATAAATTAAAGCAACATGATGTTATTATTCATATATGAGACTTGATTTTTCAAATTGTTATCATAATACCCTATACTAGTAAGACTAGCACATCTATATAGCACTGATAGCAGTGGGAATTTGCATGATGATATGGCAACAAATTAAAAAAAATACACTGAGGTATTTGTATATTAGGCCCAGGAATCTTAAATCTTAAACCCGAGGAAAAAAATATATATTTAAAACATTCCTTGTATAAATTACAATCTATAATGAGGACATGTGCCATAGTTTATTTTACAGCTTCACTATATATGGGAATTTACAGTATTTCAACATTTTTCAATTAGAAACAAAGCTGTATTGTGCACATTTATTTTCATACTGTTGGAGGGGCACTTCAGGATAAATTTTTAGTGGTAGAATTACTGAGTCAAAAGATGAACACATATGTAGTTGTGTTAGATATTTCCAGATTTCTTGCCAAAAAGGTTTATACAAATTTGCTTTTTCACCAACAATGTGTGACTGTGCTTGTTTCCCTAAAGCCCTGCCAACAGAATGTGTTGTCATACTTTTTTCTACTTTTGACAATATTATAGGTGAAAAATGATATTTCAGTATGTTTTTTTAAAATTTGGGCCATCACACATTTTATTAGCTTATTCATATTCATAAAAATTTTAAAGACTGTTAGTTTTTTTAAATTGTGGTAAAATATACATAACATAAAATATATCATCTTAATTATTCTTAAGCGTACAGTTCAGTTATGTTAAGTATGTTTACTTGCTTAACCAATCTCTACAACTTTTCATCTTGCAAAACTGAAACTGTATACCCATTAAAATTTTCCCTCTTCCCATCCCCTGGCAACCACCATTCTACTTTGTTTCTATGAAATGGACTATTCTAGACACTTCACATAAACAGAATCATGTAGTATTTGTCTTTTTGTTACTGGCTTATTTCACTTAATGTCCTTAAGTTTCAGCCACATTGTAATATGTGTCAGAATTTTCATTCTTTGTAAGACTGAAAATTATTCCATTGTATGTGTATACCACTTTTTGTTTATTCGTCTGTCCATGGGCACTTGCGTTGCTTTCACTTGGCTATTGTGAATAGTGTTCCTATGAATATGGATGTGCACATGTCTCTTTGGGACTCTGCTTTCCACTCTTTTTTGTAACTACTCAGGAGTGGAATTGCTGGGTCATATGGTAATTCTGTTTTTGGGTTTTGAGAAACTGCCATACTGTTTTCCACAGCATTTGCACCATTTTACATTTCCCACCGACAGTGTACAAGAGTTCTGATTTCTCCACATCCTTGTTAACACTTGTTATTTTCTGGGGGTTTTTTTTGGGGGGGTAATAACCATCCTAATGAATAAGAGGTGGTATTTCATTGTAGTTTTGATTTGCATTTCCCTAGTGACTACTGATGTTGAGCATGACAATTTAGATATATTATTTAGATAAATGTCTATTCAAATCCTTTGCCCTTTTAAAAAAATGGGTTATATATATGTTTTTTGCTTGGGTTGTAGTAGGTCTTTATATATTCTGGATATTAACCACTTATCAGATATATCACTTGCAAATATTTTCTCCAATTCTGTAGGTTGCGTTTTCACTCTGTTAATTGTGTCATTTGATACACAGAAGTTTTAAATTTTGATTTAGTCTAACTTGTCTATTTTTATTTTTGTTACCTTTGCCTTTGGTGTCATATCCAAGAAATTGATAAATCCAATATCATACAGCTTTCCCCTATGTTTTCTTCAAAGGGTTTTATAATTCTGGCCTTGTGTATAAGTCATTGATCCACTCTGAGTTGTTTTTTTTTTTTTTTTTGTATAAGGTAAGGGTCCAGCTTCATAATCTTGAATGTAGATGTCCAGTTTTCCCAACATTTTTTGAAGAGACTGTCCTTTCCCCATTAAGTGGTCTTTACATTTTTGTCAAGAAACGTTTGATTATATATGCCGGAATTTATTTTTTGTCTCTCTATTCTATCCCATTGGTCTATGTCTGTTTCTTTGTCAGTACCACACTGCTTTGATTACTGTAGCTTTGTAGTAAGTTTTAAAATCAGGAAATGTGAGAACTCTAGCTTTGTTCTTCTTTTGATTGTTTTAGCTCTCCAGGGTCTCTTGAGATTTGAAATGAATTTTAGGATGCTTCTTCTATTTCTGCAGAAATGTTGTTGTATTTTTGTAGAGATTGCATTAAATCTGTCAATCATTTTGGATAGTATTGATATCTTAACAATATTAAGCCTTTCAATTCTTGAACACAGATGTCTTTTCATTTATTTGTGTCTTCTCTAGTTTCTTTCAGCAACATTTGTAGTTTTCATTGTACAGCCTTTAGTCCCCTTAGGTTTATTCTAAAATATTTTATTCTTTTTGATGCTATTATAAATGTTTTGATGTAGGTTTAATCTGTGGGTCCCTAATTATTATATATTTTATATAAAGTTTCTACTCAGAATTTTTGCCCATTTTTGTAATGAGTTTTTATTTTTCCTCTTCCCCTTAATCAACTTTTACTGTTACCAAATAATGATTTTATAATCCCTATATTCTTTCTACATTTATTAGCTGGCATTTGACTGTAAATAAGATCTTTTCCCTTACTATCATTATTTACTTGAATGCCTAAAATTGTCATAGGTTTGTGCAGTAGAAGCCTCTTCATGCTCTCTCGTGTCCTCTGAAATGATCATCATTCTTTAAGTGCTACCATACTTTCTGAAACAGTAAGGTATTTCAAGCTCGTTTTTAACTTCTACAACCCAAGCCTGGAATAAATCATTTCTCCAAGGATCTCTAGTTTCTTTTTAGTGGAGGAAAGTGTTTTGTAACAAAGATCTGGGTTCTAGGTGTGCTTATGCCTACCGGAGTATCATTGCTTGTAGGCCCTGCCAACAGACAGATCTAAGAAATGTGACTATGTATATAAAAATATATGTATGTCTATACATAAACAAACCCCTGAACCTAACTGTATCAATATCTGAGTTTATATCTGTACCTCTACCTGCATCAAACTATGAGTTTACAGTGAAAGATTTAATTCAAATTCAGTATCAATGGTTTCATTATATATTTTCCTCTTTGATGTATAACTTCTTCAACTGTGAAAAATATGCTTCTTATTATCTATAATATGTTTAATTTTTGCTCAAGCTAGGATATACACAAAGCAGCTTTAGAGTTGCTAACTCATCTAGATGAAAAAAAAACCTGAGAGTTCGATATTTGTTTACAGTATTTTTCTGTAGCCTGTAAAAATGTACTTGGAGTGGGCCCAGCGCAGCAGTTTGGGAGGCCGAGGCGGGCGGATCACCTGAGGTCAGGAGTTCGAGATCAGCTTGACCAACATGAAAAAACCCTGTCTCTACTAAAAATACAAAAAATTAGCCATACATGGTGGTGCATGCCTGTAATCCCAGCTACTCGGGAGGCTGAGGCAGGAGAATCGCTTGAACCCAGGAGACGGAGGTTGCGGTGAGCCGAGATCGTGCCATTGCACTCCAGCCTGGGCAACAAGAATGAAACTCCGTCTAGGAAAAAAAAAAAATTTTGCTTGGAGTGTTTCCTTTTAAAAAGTTCTTTCCTTTTTTTTCTCTTCATTTGGTTAAAAAACAGAAAATAAATAAAATTTTCCTTTCAGTGTGGTTATGTTTTTTATTTAAAGATAGTTTTTAAATTTAATTTAAAATTTTTAAAATTTATTTTTAAATTTTCTGGTGAGATGATTTTTTTGTTTATTTTCAGATTGAATTTTTCAGACACACTTCTAGATACTCCAATAGTTTTTTTTTAATTGTGGGATATAGCTAATTGTGGTGCTTAAAAGGAAATTGATAGATTTACCTGCTTATGTTAGAAGAAAGAAAGCCTGAAAATTGATGTTCTATGCATACAACTTAATAATTAAGAAAAAGTAAAAATAGAATGAGCCAACCAAGTAGAAAGAAATAAATAATTTTGTTAAGATAAAGAAAAAAATAACGAAGGCACAGATACCAGATTTTGAAAGAGTATAATCTAACTACAGTTGTAGTAGAGATGAAAAGATATTAAAACAAAATACAAATAACTTTAGGCAATACATTTGAAAACTTAGATGAAGTGTTTAACTCTTAGAAAAAAATGTAAATTACTAACTGAATTTGATAAGAAATAGAAAACATGAATTGTTTTATAACCATCGAAGAAATTAAATAGCAGTTTTAAAAACATCCTAGAAGAAAAGTAACAGGCCCAAAATTTTTGCAGGTAACTCTTACTGAATATTCATGGATTAGAAAACATAAATACTACAAACATCTTGCAGATTAAGGGAACAAAAGGGACATTTATGGCCAAGTAAACATTTGATATCAAAACCAGACAAGAACAGTTTAAAAAAATGAGTAGGAAATATTGCAGGCCAAAATCATTCATAATCATATATGCCAAAACCCTAAACAAAATATTAGCAACTAAATTTAGCAGTGCATGGAAAGAAATACACTATGACAGAATGTAAATGTTGCAGAATTCAGTTTAGTTAAGCACTAGAAAAAAAATCTATTGATGTGATCTACCTCAACATAAACAAGAAAAATTACATTATTCTTTTCAATAGATGCTGGGGAAAAATCCATTGATAGTGCCTGGCATCTGCTCATGATTATAACTTTTATTAAACCAAGAATTAAAAAGAACTTCCTTAATATAATAAAGAATATTTGTAAAAAAAAATAAATATTATATTTAGTAGTACATTTTTATTTGTACACATTTATGGGGTACATGTGAAATTTTGTTACATGTATGTAATGCATGGTGACCAAGACAGGGTATTTAGAGTGTTCATCACCTGAATAGAATACATTTTTGTTAAGTGCAGTCACCTTATTCTGCTATCAAGCATTGAATGTATTCCTTCTATCTTACTTAGTAGTAAAATATTAAAAACATTCCTTTAAACTGTGTCTGCTATCATCAGTTCTATTCAACATCATCTTGAAGATCCTTGTCAGTAGAAAAAGACAAGAAAAATAATATAAAAGTTAGTAAGAGGAAAAATAAAACCAGGTTTGTCAGATATAAGATCAATGTAAAAAGTTATCTGCATTTCTATATACTACAGGTTATCTTTTATTCAAAATTCTTGAGACCAAGAAGTGTTTTGGGTTTCGGATCATTTGGGATTTTTGAGTATTTGCATATATATAAAACTTGGGGATGGGACCCAAGTCTAAACACAAAATGTGTGTCTTAAATACACTTTATACATATAGCCTGAGGTAAGTTTCTACAGTATTTTAAATAATTTTGTGCATGAAGCAAAGTTTTAACTTCATTTTGACTGCAACCTGTCACATGAGTTTAGATGTGGAATTTTTCACTTGTGATGTCATGCTGGCATTCAAAAAGTTTTGCATTTTGGAGCATTTTAAATTTCAGAGTTTTGGACTAGCAGTGCTCAACCTATGTGCTCTTTAAAACAGCAGCAGCAAATATAAGATAATTTTCTTAGATGTGGAAGTAATTTATGGAGTAAATTATATTGACAGTTATTAAAGGATATTCAAAGAGAGGGAGATATATACTAAATTCATGGGGGAGGAACCATATTATAAAGAAATTAATTCTTGCCAAATTTAATGGAGATTTTACCAAAAATATCAAAAGTTTTTATGAAATTTAGCAAGTTGATTCTACAATTTATATGGCATAAAAAATGGCCAAGAGTAACCAAGCTGTACTTCAAGAACAGGGTAGTAGATTTTCCCTACCAGATAAAAAGACAAATTATAAAGTTAAAGTAATTATGGATATATAGAAATAGACAAACAGACCACTAAAACAACAAGAGAACCAAGAAACAGAACTGTGTGTGATATATGCACGTGGTGCATGAGAAATGATGGTCTTTTAAAAAATGGTGCTTTGTCAATCATCTAGCTATATTAAACAAAAATAACTCTCCCTTACACTATACAGAGAAGTCAGTTTTGTTTGTGTTTTAAATCTAATGAAGAATTAAAAAATAAAACTACAAAATAACATAGAAGCACAAACCATAAAGGAAGATACTGATAAACTGAATTATATAAATGTAAGAAATTTTGATAATCAAAAATAACAATAAAAGAATGAAAAGGCATATCACAGATGGAGAGAAGACATGCGCAACATACATAACTAACAAAGGAGCTGTATCTATTTGCAATATATAATCTAGTATAGGTATCCAACATGTAAAAATTTCAGTAAGAAAACCTATCGGGTAGTATGCTTATTACCTGGGTGATGAAGTAATTTGTACACCAAACCTCCTTTGACACACAATTTATCTATATAACAAACTTGCAGATGTATCCATGAAACTAAAGTTTAAAAAAAAGTTTAGTTTGTCATAGACAAAAAAAAGGAAGAAAGAAAATCAGATAAGTCAGTAGAAAACTGTATAAAAGACTTGAATAGATACTTCAAGGAGGAGGGTATCCAAATGGCCAATAAACATATGAAAAAGCGCCCATATTTATTAATAATTAGGGAATTGCAGATTTAAATAATAACAAAATACCACTAAATATCCATCAGAATGGCTAAAGTCAGAAAGATTAACAATACCGTTCATTGGCAGGAGTATGGCACAACTATAACCCTCATCCACCGTGGGTGAAATTGTAATTTGGTACAACCCTTTTAGAAAACTCTGACAATATCTACTAAAGCTGTTAATACCCATGTTTTATTACCCAGCCATTCTCCTAAGTATATATCCAAAATAAATGTGGTACCTGTTTTCTAGGAGATGTGTAAAAATGTTTGCGTTGGTAATAACTCAAACTGGAGACAATACATATATTCATCAAGAGTAGAATGGGTAAATAAGTTGTGGTATAATTCATATAACTGTGTATTTCATATTTAAACAAAAAGGAATGAACTGCTGTTAAATGCAACAACATGGGTGAACATCAAAACATGATATTTAAGACAGAAGCCAGACACAGAAGATTAAACTTTTGATTTCATTTACCTGAGCTTTGAAAACTGTAAAAACAAAATTATTGGGTTGTAAGTCAAAATAGTAGTTATACTTGGTGGAGAAGGCAGGGAGTAGGAGTTGGGAGAGGCCATGACAGGAAGAGGGGAGGAACTCTGGAGTTCTGGCATATCTTTTATTTCTTGATCTGAATGGTGTTTATCCCGGTGATCACTTCATGATAATTAATCTGTGCATTTACACGTCGCGCACTTTTCTGTATGTGAGAATACTTTGCAATAAGAAAATACTTTTAAATTCCAGTGGAATTAGCATAAATCTGAGAGGCAGAGCTATTAATTTTTTAGAATCAATATAATAGAATTCTTTCTGACCGTAAGATAGGGAAAGTTTTAACATAGAAAACTCAAAATACCACAAAGAAAATTATTTGATAAATATCGAAAAAGTTTTACATTAAAATTTAGAATTATTTTTCACTGCAAGATGTCATAAAGTAAAAAGATAAGCCACAGACCTGACAAATATATTTGTAACACATATAACTGAAAAAGGATTAGCCTTCAGAATATATAAGAAAATAGACAAATACACCAATATATAAAGGAACAAAAGACATGAGCAGGTAATTCAAAAAAGAACACATGAATGGCCAATAATCATATCTGAAGCTATTCAACCTCATTAATAATTAGAAAATGGAAATTAAAATTAGCAGATTTTGCCAGAACTATAAAATATGACAATTCCAATTGCTGGTGTGGGTATGGAGCAACAGGAACTCATACACTGTTGACAAAATAATAAATTGGTATAATCATTCCAGTGGACATTTTTGCATTACCTGATAAAGATTTGCATGTACTCCATGGTCAGCAGTTCTACTCTTGGGGATATTCCTCAGGAAACTTCAGTTTGTGCCAGAGACCATGTACAAGAACATCCATGTTAGTATTGCTTATACTAGTAAAATACTGGATATAATGTGTACGTCCATCAAGAGATGAATGGGTACTAAATTATGTTTATCCATACAAAGAGAACATTTTGCAGCTGTGAAATTTAAGGACTATATGCATCGATGTGGATAAATTCTTAGGAACACATCATTGAGCCATAATAAGACAGTCACAAAAGAATACTTAGTATGTTTCCAATAAATGAAGTTTAAATAAGAGTTAAGACTAATTTAATAGTTGGGGATGGATACCTTTGTGATAATAATATAAAGAAAAGCAAATAAATGAAAAAGACAAAATGCAGCGTAGTGATCAAATTTCAAGAGAAGGAAGAGGAATGCAATCAAGAAGGGACCCACAGGGGCAGTAAAGATATTGGTGATAATCTGTTAAGATGGACTTTTGCTTTATTATTATTATTAAACTCTACGTATACATTATATACACTCTTTTATATGCATGATACATTTCATAATAATTTGTTTACAATCTCTACATATCTCTCTATAGGAAATGCATTATTGGGAGTCAATAGCAGAAGCCAATAAATCAGCTGTGTTGCTGTTTCAAGTGTCCATCAGTGGCTGATGTTGACCTAGAAAATTGATGGAAAAGAATGGAGAGTATAGCTAATAGTTCTACTTTTAAATGTTATTCAAGTTTTTTTTTTTGTCCTGTGTCTTCTTAGTTTCTTTGTAGGGATGAAAAAGAGAACACATCATGAGTTGATGGCTAGATGCCATTTCTTACTAAATTTAATTTTCTTAGCCAATAGTGTGTTGTTGGAATGAGGGTATTGTCCATTGTACTTGATGGATCAAGAAACTAGGTTAAAAAGGGTCAATGCAGATTGCCTCAAAGCACACAACTAAAATGGTGAAGGCTGCTCTGGATTTCCCTTTACTCTCCACCAGCTTTCCCCAGTGTGTCTATGCATGGAATTATCAGCAGCAGCCAGCATCGCCCCACACTCAGGCTCAGAAGCACTCAGCCAGCCTCAGTCTCTCTGGGAGCCTCCTCTGGGCCTTCAGGGAGGTGTGATATACTGGGTACACTGGAGGTTAAGTATCCATTTCCTCTAACTTTCTGCTTATGAGTAGTGGCTGTCCCTGAGCAACCTTTTGACTTAAGCCCTTTGCTCTCCTAAAGGCTCAGGCATTGTGGCTACAGACCATCTATATATTTAAAGGTACATTAGCAGAGAGGAGACCCTTTGCTGATCTTAAGAACAGCTTGTGAGAATGGTGGATGGGTGACGGGGGCAAGGCAGGAGCATGTGAATGATAGCTTCATCAACTTGACATTCCCTCAGGATCCACCACCTCCATGGGGGTTCTTTCCTGGCCATTTCCCCACCAGATGTAAAAATTATTAAATGTATTTGGCTAGAGTTTCTTGAGAACTCTTCTTTCTCAGGTTTTTTTTCCTTTACCTTATTTCCTTTTCTGCTTCTAGTTTTTAATCCTCATTTTTATTTTCTGCTCTCGCATAAGCTCTAGCTAAATGGTGCCTGGGTTTGCTCAAGTATCAAGGTACAGAGAAGGAGCTCTATGAAATTTCAGTCCTGCTGTTGGGGACTAAGGTGCTACTCCAGGAGCTGATAGTGTTCTGGGGAGACCCAGGCCTAATAATAGGGATACTTCTTTCCCCAGTAATTGAGCAGTCCAGCAACTCAGGACTTAGAAAAGACTTAGAGCTGGCTTAGAAAATTCTCCATAGTTTAAAAAAATTTTTAAAAGCTGGTCAGGGGATGGATTGAGAAAACAAAGTAGAAAAGTTGTCATGTTTTTTTTTTAATTGGATTGCATTCACTGAAGTTTAAGGACTTCAGGAAAAAATAATGAGTGAGTTGAGGTCATTGAAAGGTTTGGAGCCTTTAACTACTGGCTCCACAGATGGGAAATTACTCATATATACTGTATACGTATGTTACATATATACTCCTTATCTATATACTGAGATATAGGAGACCCTACATAGCCCCTCAGTTGCCTTTTAGTGACTCTACCTCTGCTATATAAAAGTTTTTTCTATGCCTTAACTCTTAAGAGTTTTTAGGATCTCACTTTTAAAATGTGTTTGATTCTGAGTCACATTAACCACAACGACGAATATTCATTGAACATTTTACATTTGCAAGCACATTTATATACATTGCCTTATTTATTCAGTATAATCACTTTGGTTTTTTTCTCATGGGTACTAGGAGACAGGAGTCTTAGAAAATTATGCTTTTGACACATGCACGCATATGTTCATTGCAGCACTATTCACAGTAGCAAAGACATGGAAACCATCTAAATGCCCATCAACGACAGATTGGGTAAAGAAAATGTGATACATATACACCATGGGATACTATGCAGCCTAAAAATGAACAAGATCATATCTTTCAAGGGAATATGGATGGAGCTGGAGGCCATTATCCTTAGCAAACTAATGCAGGAACAGAAAACCAAATACTGCATGTTCTTGTAAGTGGGAGCTAAATGATGAGAACTCATGAACACAAAGAAAGAAACGACAGACACTGGATTCTATCTGAAGGTGGAGGGTGGGAGGTGGCAGAGAAGCAGAAAAGGTAACATTGATGAAATAATCTGTAAAACAAAACCCCATGACACAAGTTCACCTATGTAGCAAACGTTCACATGTACCCCCAAACCGAAAATAAAAGTTTTTTTGTAAATGCTTTTCCAGTTCTTAGGAACTGGAAGCCAGCTGTCAGGTATGGGAGCTAGACTTTGAAGCTGATGTTTGACTTAATGTGCTCATTCTTTCTAAATCTTGATGCTAACCTTAATTATTAATATCTTAGCATGACTTTGTTTATCACAACATATAAGCTGGAAAATCAGCTTCACCTGAAGCTGGGCTTCCAGCTGCTCAGCAGCCATTCCTCACCAGCCATTCAAGGCAGTTTTTTATTTTCAAACTTTGGTTTGCAGATCACCTGGAACAGAATTATTCTGGGGGAGGAAGCGTTGTTGATAAATTTTCACATTCTTGTTTTTTTTTTTTCTTTTCTTTTTTTTTTTTTTTTTTGAGACGGAGTCTCGCTCTGTCGCCCAGGCTGGAGTGCAGTGGCGCGATCTCGGCTCACTGCAAGCTCCGCCTCCCGGGTTCACGCCATTCTCCTGCCTCAGCCTCCCGAGTAGCTGGGACTACAGGCGCCCGCTACCACGCCCGGCTAATTTTTTGTATTTTTAGTAGAGACGGGGTTTCACCGTGTTAGCCAGGATGGTCTCGATCTCCTGACCTCGTGATCCGCCCGCCTCGGCCTCCCAAAGTGCTGGGATTACAGGCGTGAGCCACCGCGCCCGGCCGATAAATTTTCACATTCTTAAGCTGTATCCCAGGTCAACTGACTCAGCTTCTAAGGGATGGGACTTGGGAAACTGTGCTGTTAAAGCAAGAACCCAGATTAATCTTATATGCCCTAGGTTTTGAGAAGCAGTGGTTTAGCAACCACACCACCTTTTTTCAGGGCCACTGCCACATATGTCTTCTGAATTTCTGGGATTTTGACTGCTTGAGTGGAATGGGTCATTGTCAGTATACATCCCTGAAGATTCCTGTTTGGAATTTGATCCATTGGCCACAAATTCTTTCCCCATCCCACCCAACAATGCAGGATATTTTTTCCAGGCTGGCCTGGAGGAAAAACCAATCATTGTTCTCATTCTGACTAATTGGAGACAGTCTGGCCGCAATCATCTCTCTTTGTGCCTTTCTCTTCTACAGTACTTGGGCAGGGCTGCAGGGCAGCTGGTGTGGAGGGTGGCTGGGGTGGGGCCCAGAGAAAAATAATTAAAACTGCAATGCCTTCTGTCATTAAGTCCTGAGTGGAATGCTGAGTTGAATAATGGAAAGGGTCTCTGCTGTCTTTGGGAATATTTTTGTTATTGTCCCAAGTAAAAGACTTGAGTGTCAAATGAGATTCTTTTATGTCTGTACTTCTCCATAATTTTTTAGAATTTCCTACGGTCTGTGCAGTAATTGCAGTTTCCTTAAAGCCATTCGGTTGGCTGTCCTCAATTTGTTTCAGCTGGTCTGAGGATTCTTTAGGTAAACTAAATGAAATACAACTAGGAAAGGCTCTTGTTTCCTTTTGCTTTTTTGGAAAAGGAAAGAGTGTAAATTGCTAATGCCAATAAATGGCCAGAAACCCCAAGTTTTCTACCAGCAGCAATACCTTTTTTGTGGTGGACAATATTGCTTTGAAATCTTTCTCCAAATACAAATCCCATGTACAAACAGTAGTAGTAGTAAATGTTTATTGAGTATTTATTTATTCCAGTCACTGTGCTAAGTGCTCTGTGTATTTTTTTAATTTAATTCAACCAATTACTCTTTAAATTAGGGACTAGTATAATTCTTACTTTACAAATGAGCAAATGAAGTCCTAGACAGTTGAAATAACCTTTCTAAAGTCAAACAGGTAAGCATTTGAATGCTGATTTGTACCAAAGAAGTCTAGCTCCAGAGCCATATTCCTTTTTGCTATAGTCTGTGCTCCTTCTTGTCATATGTAATCACTCCCATAATACACACACTCAGGCTTTAAGTCTTTGTTTAGTTTTTAAGACCAGAATACAGAGTTTGATTATTATGATAGCCATATTTTTTAAACTAAAAATCAACAAAAATTCGGGGGATATAGGAGAGAAAATTTTGAATTGAGGCTGTTGCAAAAGACTGGAATGAAGGTTATCATATCCCAGAGAGAACACACTGAGGATATCAATTGGATCCTTCACTCGTTTAATAAATAACTTTCATATTAAAGGACTTTACATCCTTAGTATCTGGTACCATTTATAAAATGTGTAGTTGAAGTGCTTAATAAATATTTATTGAATGATTGAAAGTATTCCTGTCTTCAGAGAATTGCTGATCTTTAAGGCAATGAATGGAACAATTTTAATACATTAAGTGCTACGATAGAGGTAGCACTGTGATAGAGGTACATGATGGACACAATATTTATTAAGGAAATAAATAAATCCATAGGGTGCTTGTGAAGGTGGAGGGGATTCTTAGAAGGCCATGAAATAATTCCCAGAGGCATTGTCATCTAAGATAGAACCTAAAAGACAAGTAGGTACAGGCCTGCTTAGGCTAAGCAGCATCGGGTTATGAAGATCTTTCACACAATAGAGCTTAGATTGTATTATAATTACTATGGGGAGCCTTTGAAAAATATGTACCCACAGGGTGACATAATTTTGGTTATATGTATGTGTGTAAATGCACCTGTTTAATAAAGTGTATATAATTTACTCCTCAGCATGAAACCTATTCTTTACATTCTTCATTATTAATGAAATAATCTTTTCATTGCTTTGAAGATATAGTTGATAAAGAGCCACAGGAAGGATCCGCTACTGTGATAGAGAAGGATTTTCCAAACTTTAATATTCATAGGATTATCTGGGAATTCTGTCAAACAGTATACTCTGATTCAGTAGGTCTAGGGGTGGTACTCAGATTCTGGATGTCTAGCAAGCTCCCATGTGATGCCAGTGTTACTGCTTCTCAGCTCACACTTGTGAGTAGGAAGGGGCTAGAAAAGGAGGAAGACAGTATCTCAGAAAAATGAAGTATGTTAATGGAAACCAAAAATCTGGGTCAGTGAGAGCATAGGATAAAGGAGGCAGGCTTAATGAACTAACACTTCGGAAGATAATAAGAAAGAAGAAAAAGAAGAAAATGCTAGATTAAAGAGGCATATCAAGTAAATAATATGGGAGTACCTGACTTAGCTGATGACAAGGTGGTCAGAAAAACATTTCTAAAAGGAAATGAAATAGAATTTCCTGACAGTGATGATCATAAGCTTCTATTTGAGACCAAGTCTGCAGTAACTAGTGTAACATTTCCCAAACTATTCTATAGAATGCTCAAACGAGTGTTCTACAGAATGCTTATTCTAAAGGAAATTTAATACAAGTTTTGGCAAAGACTTTCATGACCAAATAAGTTTTGGAAATGCTCTTAAGCGAAGTTAAACTCATTTCTGTGAAGTATTTTACCAAGAAACATCCTTTTCACAAGACACCTAATTAACACCTCCATACCAAGAGTTTTTACCAAGCACAGTATTGGAAAACGTCACCTACTGAAGAAAGCCCACTGGATTTGTGGTAAGGTCTGAGTTGCAGACCCTTCTCTTTAGCAAGTTACTTAACCCCTCTGAGCTACAGTGGCTTAATTGATAAAATAGGCATTACACTATCAATCTTGCCATGCTATTATGAATATTGAATTAATAACTATAGGAGATTTTAAACTCCATAGCATTATGATATTATGCTTATTTTTGGCCACTACAACATCTTGCACAATGTTTCATTCGTTGGCACTCAATCTTTTATGTAAGCATCAGTTAATTAATTAACTGACTTTAGGCCAAGAAACTCCTTAAAGGAACTTAATAAGAGAGCTGGAAATTGATGTTCTCCTGAAAAAGGCAGGAATTAGGCAGAGGCCAGTGAAGAATATGACTTGATGTGTTGTTTATTTGTTTTCCTCTTTCTGTGGTGCTTTGATATTACTAAAGGGTATAAGACAAGATCTATTATAGAAGATAATACAGAATTATTTACAAGGCAAAAAGTGGGTAGTACTTGAAACAAGAGAAACAGAGAAAAAAATCTCAGCTGCCATGTTCCAGTGGGTGGACCAGTATTAATTTCAAATTAAATTTTAGGATTATTCATAACTTATCTCATGATGGTAACATATTATTTTGGCCATAAGAATATCTAAATGGAAAATTGATACTTTTCATATCTAAAGCTATGCAGGTCCTCAATGAACCTGACCAAACTTAAGTGTCTTATGAGAGTAGTCGAATACTACAGGTGGAAAAATGGAAGGAGATAACACATCCATAATTACTTAAAGAATATATTTGAAGTTTAAAATATGTGGATGTTTATGAAATATTCAGTCAATTATGTATTTAGCAATCATCTTGCCAAATGTCTAGCCATTTGAAAACATCTGGATTATTGAATGTTCATCCAGATGTTCAGTCTTGAGTAGATATTTGGCAGTTGCAAAATAGAATTTTCCAGTTGTTTGGTCTGAATTTTGCTGAATTTTAAAAACACTAATTTGAATAGCTGTTTTGTATCTATGCCATTGTTCTGGCTTTGGACTGATAAACTAACAACAGGCTTGGTAATAGAACTAGTGAATCAGTGTTCTGAGCTATCCCATTCTGCCCAACAGTAATGTATGGTTTCTCTTTTTTAGCTTACTTGGTGGTGTTGAGCAAGTAAATAGAACCCTATAAAGGGATATGGAGGAGAAAATAATGTGTGGCCACTGTAAGTGGGGACCGAAAGACCTGATGCAAGTCCTAGCTATGCTCTTACCAACCGAATAACCTTGGGCAGCTAATATTAACCTCAGTAGCAGTTTGTCTTCTGTGAAATAAGTATAATAATAATTGATCTCCCACTTTGAGGTTTGTTGGGATAATCAAATGAGACAGAAATGTGAACTTGTTTGTGAACTAGTACATGTTATATCTATATGTTTATGATGTATATATGCCAATGTTAGATGTGAATACTTTTGTTTCTGTTTCCCTCTAGGCAAGTATAATTAGTACTACATGTGTCCAGCTTTGTACTAAAATGAGGATGAATTTTAAAAAAGAATGATTGGGAAACACATTACAATTTAAAACAGAAAAGGTTTAATTTGGCCTAAAATGACAAATAAACATTTCAAGCAATTCAGTTCCTGGCCTTCCATTTCATCTCCCACTCTTTTAGTCAAGTAGGTAAGGCCCATAAGTGTTCCATACTTTTCAGCTCTGATTTTTCTAAAAGCTATTTCTCTATGCTTGGAATATTCTTTCTTCTTGTTCCCACATGTTCAGATCCCATTAATGTTTTCATGTTTCATCTAAAAATGTCAGATTTCCCTATGAATATTTCATTCATCCTTCTACTTAAGAGTCATGACTTTAAAGGTCTGGATTTGAAACCTGTCTCTGTCACTTAATAATTGTGTGAATTTGGCCACTGTAATAATTCATTCGGAATTTTGATTTCTTCAGTAAGAATTATTGTATCTCACATAGTGAACTGAAAATTGAATGAGATAATGTATATCCTGGTAGATATTCCTACCCTTTCCAAAAATGCCCTATTTCTGCCTCTGTGTCTCTAAAGAGACTCTTTAGGTTTTTATCTTATCAATGTGCATTCATTAGAAAAAATAAAATAGTACCACTAGGCTTATAAAAGAGGATTCTTGTGCCTCCACCTCCCAGTATACTACTTCCAGTGGCAACTCCTTTCAACTCTTTCAACTGACACTTATATTTATCTCCATATTTATAGTAAACGTCCTTATACTGCCATTTACTGATTTTTCAATTTTTAAAAGTACCTTCTACTGACTTTTCACAATGGAAAATAAGGATTAGCCCTTCTTACATCTTCCTTCCTTACATGAATACATTTGCCCTCTCCAATTCTCTTAGGATAGCTTATTGTTTGTTATTATGACCATTTAAATATTATTCATACATGAAGTAAGAAGAGGACAATGGTTTTATTTCTGTTCTCATACCCCTTTTTCTTTTCTCTGGAGTTAATGATCACTTTATTTTTCAATATCATAGTTTATTATGCTCTTTGCTCTTTTTCTTTTCTAATAATATATATTTGAACTGCCTTCAGACTTTAGGACAGTCTTTTTTCTTTTATGTGGCGATAAAATTAAACACACTGAAATGTAGAATTTGCTTTGACTTGTAGCTCTGCACTCATCAAGCCCACATGACTCTGACTGGTGGTGTCAGTCCGATGTGATGACATCAACCTAAATATCCTCTCAATATGAATACGTTTAAAATGGAATATTTAGGATTTTCTTTACCAGCAACGTAAGTTTTTACACTTGGAAGAATTAGGTTCCAGCTCTTCAAAAATATATATTCATTTTGTATCTATAAGTTTGCTTTGGTAGATCAACTATTTGTCAATCAGGTCCTTTGTATCTCTAAGCCCATTTATGATTCCCATGACTTCTGTCCCCTGGTGTACATGCCATGTTTGGTTCCCTCACCTTGACTGTGAGTGTGACTGAATATGATACAGTTCACTCCTATGATTAAGTTATGCTATATGACAAAGATGAGAGGATTTTTCAGATTTTAAATTCTCACTCACATGTGGGAATTGAACAATGAGAACTCATGTTCTCACTCATATGTGGGAACTGAAAAATGAGAACACTTGGACACAGGGTGGGGAACATCACACACCGGGGCTTGTCATGGGGTAGGTAGAGTGGGGAGGGATAGCATTAGGAGGAATATCTAATGTAAATGATGAGTTAATGGATGCAGCACACTAACATGGCATATGTATACATATGTAACAAACCTGTACGGTATGCACATGTACCCTAGAACTTAAAGTATAATAAAAATATATAAAAATAATAAAAAAACAATATCTAAATTCAGTTGACTTTGAATTAATCAAAAGGAAAATTATCCTTGGTGGGCCTGACTTAATCAATCTCCTTGAAAAAGTGGGGCTTTCCTGTAGGAAGAGATTTAAAACAAGAGACACTCTCTTGCTGGCCATGGAGAAGAAAATTCTTATGTTGCAGAGAGGGCCACAAGGGCAGGGGACAACAGACAGCTCCTAGAAGCTGGGAGGGATCCCCACACAAGAGCAACAGAGAAAGCAAAGACCTGTGAGCTTAGATGAGGATCATGAGTGGCTGAGACCCTGATTTCCGACTTGTAGACCTTGAGCAGAGAACCCAGTAACAAAATGCTCAAACTTCTGATCTACAGAACTGTAAGACAAGAAATGAGTATTTTTGGGCTGGGCATGGTGGCTCATGCCTATAATCCCAGCACTTTGGGAGGCCAAGGCAGGTGGATCATTTGAGGTCAGGAGTTTGAGACCAGCCTGGCCAACATGGTGAAACCCTGTTTCTACTAAAAATACAAAAATTAGCTGGGCAGTAGTGGCATGCACCTGTAATCCCAGCTACTCGGGAGGCAAAGGCAGGAGAATTGCTTGAGCCTGAGTGGTGGAGGTTGCCGTGAGTCGAGATGGCGCCACTGCACTCTAGTCTGGGCAACAGAGTGAGAACCTGTCTCTAAAAAAAAAAAAAAAAAAAAAAGGAAGTGATTTTTTTAAGCTGCTAAGTTTGTGGTAATATGTTATGGAGCAATAGAAAACTAATGCACTATTTGCATCTAAAAGGGTGATCATTTCTAAACACTCCAAAGCACATTGAATATATCATAAGTTAAGCTTTTCTCAGAGAAAATTGTTTTAAAGTATAGAGATTATTTGAACTTATTAAATTTAACTTGGATTCAAAATAAGCTATAATTTTAGCAAAGAAATTAAGAAAGTTGTATTTAACTTTACTGTCCTTTTCTTGTCCCTCCCTCCTTCCCTCCCTTCCTTCCTTTTCCTCCCTCTCTTCCTTTTCCTCCCTCCCTCCCTCCCTTCCCCTTCCTTCCTTCCTTCCTTCCTTCCTTCCTCTAAATCGGCTTTATTCTCCACCACCCAAAAAAGTCTTTTTCTTTCAGTACGAACTTTTGCCACAACCTACATAACATTAAATAACTCATATATAGTTAGTTCATCCTTATGTAGGATCCTTATGGGCTCTTCAAAGATCGAACAGTTTTGGAAAAATAGCATATAAACTTCTGTTTTACTGTAATTATTGTCTCCATACTCATCCTCAATATATTTGTAAATTAGAGAAGAATACTCTTCTTATCTCACAATTTGAAATACGCTTTTACTCCAGGCCAACCTGTTAACAACTTTTCTATGGCTGACAGCACTGATAGCCATCTTGTATGTACATGTCTAAGAAGGCTGTCTCCTTTACTCTCTATACAGTAAAAAAAATCTCAGAAAATGCTTCTACATACTTTAAGTAAACTGAATAGTAACCAAAATGTTTTATTACAAAAGTTTCAGTATTACAGGTAAAATCATATCTCCTTTTAGAAATGTTGTGTAGAAGGTGTCGGTAGGGCATTTAGTATGTAAGATCTTTTTATTTTCTGTAGAAAGAAGTTTATTAACTGAATTGAATTCACCAGAATTTAGATTTGCACTGTCAAATATGTGGATAGATAAGCAATGTCTAGTTTGTATTTGTACAAGATATCAACGATCTTTCGTTTTATATTTCTACAGTTTTGTTAAAATGTTTATAGACATGAAGAGGACAATTGGAAACTACATTTTTCAAATCAAAGTTTTACTGGTAAAACATGATAGAGTCTGCTTCACACTGTTGGTGGCTAACATATTGGCTTATCAGAATTTCCCCATTTTTATCTATGCACCTGAAATATCTGTATAATGATAGTAAAGGAATTCTTTTAAGCTCAAACTCACAAACATGAATAAATGTGAAAAGAGAAATAATGATTAAAAATAAAATAAAGGCCAGGCACGGTGGCTCACGCCTGTAATCCCAGCAGTTTGAGGGCCGAGGCTGGCAGATCACCTGAGGTCAGGAGTTCAAGACCAGCCTGGCCAACAGGTGAAACCTCATCTCTACTAAAAATACAAAAAAATTAGCCAGGTGTAGTGGCACATGTCTGTAATCCCAGCTACTCGGGAGGCTGAGGCAGGAGAATCGCTTGAACTCGGGAGGCAGAGATTGCAGTGTGCCGAAATCCCACAACTGCACTCCAGCCTGGGCGACAGAGTGAGACTCCATCTCAAAATAAATAAATAAATAAATAAGTAAATAAATAAATAAATAAAATAAAAATGAGACAATAATGAATGAGAAATATGAAAATTTGTGGAGGTTGAAAGTAGTAGATAATCAAGTAGTTTCTGACTAGATTTAGGAAAAGCCAAAAGAGGCAGAGTAGGTCAAGAGGAAGAAGCCGAGTAATTTGCACCCTCCAAGTGAGAAATAACAGAAACAAAGTATGGCTGATTGCTTTTCCAATAAAGTTCCCCCTCTTTGAACCTTCTAAGGTGGTACTTCATCTCTTCCAACCCCCACCCTCTATCAATACTCTATATGGCCCTAATGTTGCTGATTATTTTAACAAAACGACATTAACTCCTTTTCTGTCCAGTGATCTTGTGCACCCTTTTAAATTGAAGGGGAACCTGCCAGTGGGGTTCTATTTTTTTTTTTCAGATGCTCAGTGTGAAGCTTTCTTCTAATATGGGAATTATAAGCAAGAAGGTCTACACAGTGCTCAATGGAAATCCATTTGGCATGTTTTCAATCCCAGTCCTTGCTAAACAAGTATATATAAAATAATAATCAAATGAGGTAATTAATAGCTCTTTTCAAACTGTTAATAGTATATTGTGGTAAATAGACATTTGAATTGATCCAGTGAATTTTAAAGAGATACTATAAACAAAATTCATCATTTGGACATTCTTTATTACTATACTGCATTTGGGGTTTATTTTCTTTCCCAATTTTGCATTCTGTTTCTTGATTCCAGATATGACTTTTTGGTAACAGGGCTATGTGCCCATTCTCTGTCCATTATCGTATGGTCTGGGATGGGGGTGGGGTCTCAGCAGGGATCACTGGAGTGGAGAGGGCCCTCTCTGACCTAATGATACTGGGATGGCCGTTTCAGAAAATAACGTGAGAGTGAAAATTTTACTAAAAACAACTTTCTCAATAAATATCAAGATAAAATGTCATACAGCTGCCTTGTCACTTTGTTTTTATTCCTGAGCATCATCATAGCTATCCTACCTGTCTTCTTTCTCCAAATATATTTGGGGAAGCTCTTTGTAGGTATTTTGGAGTTTGAAAGAGCTGCCTTGGTTTTCGCATACGTCCAACATGCAATTTTTGCAGGCTTCTTTGTTCTGGAAAGCCTCAGAGTCTCCTTTCAATTCTACTCTGGATATTTAGGAGAGTGTGGACTATTTTGTTTTATTTGGCCAATATCCAGTTAAATAATGCATCCCTGGCCTGTAGAGCCTAGGCCATTTCACTTATAGATCAGTGTGAGATACACTAGCTCTGAAATGCATTTTGAAGTAGACAAATAGTCAGATGAGTAAGTGATAAATAATAGCAGATGCCCAAAGGTAAGACAAAAGTAGAAAAGATGGTTTGCATTGGGATTGGCAGGAAGACATGTTTCAGAAGGCAGAGATTGCTGAGTAGGGGCAAATTGCCAATGCACGGTAATCCATGTGATAAGTCAAGCCAGGCCAAGCCTTGGAGACTCACAGGATAATTGAAGACTTAACAAAATAAAATTAATAGGAAAAAGACCACCAAAGTCTTTAAGCATGGTAGAGAACAGGAACAAGGAAACTAACTCAAACTTGATTCCAGGTTCAGACAGCTAAACTCTTTGCAGGGAGATATTTTGCTGGCCTCCTTGAAATGTGCAATAAGGTAGATCAGGGAAAAGCAACAGATGTCAGGTAAAGATATCTAGGTTCCCATATGGTTTTACTACTAATAGGCTATGCGACCCTGACCAAGTTCCCATTCTTGACCTCAGTTTTTTCATTTCTAAAAGGAAAAGGTTGTGCTCATAAGATCCCTTCTAGCTCTGGCTTTCTGAGTTACTACCCAAGCATCACCAATAGGCTTGGGAGGAGGGTCTCTCTCACTTCCTCCAAATACAGTGCAAAGTATTTCTGTTGCAGCAATAGATATGATAGTGCTTTCTTTGTGTAATTTTACTAAGAACTCAAAATCCCATTTTATTTGTTGATTAGCATAGCCTATTTAGATCAATACTGAGAACAGTGGTACAAAGCAGTTGTTTAATAATTAGATGTGGAACAAATCAGTAAATGGAGAAGGAGATTCCCGTGTGAACACCTCTATGGGGATATCTATCACTCCATCATTTATGTTTGTACTCAAATGCAGGTGCAATGATTTGTCCATATTTTCTTCCACCCTTTTTTCCTCCTGGGATATTTTACTGTCTTAAAGCTATTTACATGCATGTCAAGGGAGAGGCAAAGTCTTTTTCTTGCCTTTCAAAATGAAAAGGTAACTGTATTTCTTAAATCATTAGGCAGATTCTAAAGTGAGCTCTTTTAACTCTTTTAACTAAGCAAGAACATTGAACAGGAAGGAAGAAAGGAGTAAAATAGTAAATTTGTTCTTATTCATGAAAGGCAAGGACTTACCTTCTAGAGAGACATGGCGTTTTCAAGGAGTTGTACCACTTAACATTACGTAAAAGCCAAGCTACTTGTTAGAAGACAAGCTACTGGTTAGAAGAAAAATTCACAAATCACATATTTGAAAAGCAGAACTTGCATGTAGTAAAAGGAACAAACCAATCATATATGGGGCAACTTGGTTGAAACTCCAAGACATTAGGTTGAGTAAAAAATAAGCCAATTTTGAAAGATTATATACTATATTATTTCATTTGTATGACATTCGCAAAAGACAGAACTAGTAGTTATGGAGGACAGACCAGTGGTTGTCAGGGCTCTAGGAGTTTTCCAAGCTGTTTTCCAGAGTGGCTGTACAACACTGCATTCCTATCAGCAATGTATGAGAGTTTCAGTGGCCCTACATTCTCACCACGATTTGATATTGCCAGTGTTTAGGGTTAAAAAAAATCAGCCATTCTAATTGATGGATAGTGGTATCTAATGGCTTTAATTTGCATCTCCCAGACAGCTAATGATGTTGGATACCCTTTTATGTAAGTAATTATTGCCATCTATATATTCTGTTTGTTGAAAAGTATGTAGCAGTCATGTGTCCCAGATTGTTTTTCTTTTCTTTTCTTTTCTTTTCTTTTAGTGTGACTATTAAAGTTACAGCCAAATTAGAACATGTTCTTTCTAGCTACATGTGTTCCCCTTTTCCCAGAGATTTTGATAACTCCCTTCACTTTCCCTTCTAGAGAATGTGGACTATTTTGTTTTATTTGGCCAATATACAGTTAAATGATGTAGCCCTGGCCTGTAGAGCCTAGGCCATTTCACTTACAGATCAGTGTAAGTGTTGAGGTTGAGTGTTGAGGTGCCTTTATATATAATCTGGATGCAAGTTCTGGTTTTCAAATGAATGATTTGTGAATTTTTCTTCTAACCAGTAGCTTGTCTTTTCACTATTTTAACAGGATCTTTAGTGAAGCAAAAGTTTTAAATGTTGATTAACTCCAATTTATCAATTATTAATTTTATATATCAGCTTTTCATGTTATATTTAAGAACTCTGTACATAACTTCTGGACATGAAGATTATCTTCCATGTTTTCTTTTAGGTTTTACATTTAGCTCTATGAATCATCTTGGGTTAATCTCCATATAAGATAAGAAATGGAAGACAAAGGTTTTTTTTTTTCTATATAGATGTGCAGTTGTTTCTAAATCATTTGTTTAAAAGACCATCCTTTCTTTATTGATTTATTTTTTGTACTTTGATTGATTTATTTTTGTACTTTTGTCAAAAATAAAACAGCCATATTTGTGTGAGTCTGTTCTTGCCCACTGATCTATGCCTCTGTCCCTTTGCAATGCCACACTGTGATAGCCTTGGGTTTTTTTTGCTCTTCTTTTTCTGGTTTCTTAAGGTGGAAAGAAAGTTTATTGATTTGAGGTCTTTCTTTTTTCTAATATAAGCTTTCAGTGCTATATGTTTCCCTCTAAGCACCGCTTTAGCCATAGCCAACAAATTTTCATATGCTGTATTTTCAATTTTATTCAGTTCAGCACATTTTCAAAGTTCCTTGAGACTACCTATCGGACCCATAGGTCATTTAAAAGTGTACTGTTTGACTTTCAAGGGGTTGGAAATTTTTCTGTTGTTTTTTTAATTTTATATTTAGTTTAATTCCATCATTGTCAGAGAACATATTTTCTATGACTTGAATTCTTTTACATTTTTAAGGTGTGTTCTATAAGACAGAATGTGACTTATCTTTGGTTTATGTTCCATGTGCTCTTTAAAAAATGTATATTCTGCTGTGTTAGGATGGAGTGTTCTATAAATGTTATGAGACCCAATTGTTTGATGGTGTTTTTCAGTTTTTCTGTATTAAGTGCCTATAAACATTTTCTGTAAAGGGCAAGAAAGTATAGTTTTTAAGCTTGTGTGCTATATACAGTCTGTGCCACATGTTCTTTATGTTGTTGTTGTTACAACCTTTACAAAATATAAAAAGCATTCTTAGCCTGTGGGCTCTACACAACAAGCTATGGGCTGTATTTGGCCTGTGAGCCATAGTTGATTGACCGATGTTCTATAGTCTTACTGATTTTCTATCAGTATTGGATTCTTCAACTATCATTTTATAGAGAGTATTGGATCCTTCCAATACTCTCTATATGTAGAAAAGAGGGTCTATTTATATAGAGTATTGGATACTTCCAGTACATAGAGTATTGGATTTTTCAACTATCATTTTATATCATATAATTATTGATAAGTTTGGATTGATGTATACCATTTACTATGTGGTTTCTGCTTGTAACCTCTGTTTTTTATTTTTCTTTTTCCTATCTTCTTTTGGGCTATTTCCACATTTTTAGTATTCCATTTTAATTTATCTATTGAGATTGGACTTTATCTCTCTAGCCTTATCTCTTTATCTCTTTGCTTTTTAAGTGGTTGCTCTCAGGAGTACTACATATATATATTATATTATATATAACTTTTCACCATCTACTTATAGTCAATAAATGGTCACTTCCTGTGAAATGTTAAAATCTTATTACCAAATAATTCCCTTTCCTCTCTGAATTTTATGCTATAGATATTTCATATATTACTTTTATGTACCTTGAAAACTCCATAAGATAATGTGAATGATGTTTGTTTTAAACTGTCTGATGGCAACAGATTCTTTTAGTTTTCCTTTATCTGTGCAGGTCTTTATTTCACCTTCATTTTTGAAGGATATTTTCACTGGATATAGACTTCTGAGTTGATAGTTATTTTCTTTCAGTACTTTAAAAATATACCACTTCTTTCTGGCTCCACGGTTTCTGAGAAAATCACAATCTTTAAAATCATTCTAGCCCTAAAACTAATGCATTGTGTTTCTCTGTCGGCTTTCAAGATATTTTGTTGTGTTTCCAATTTTTAGCGTTTTTGATTATAATATATCTGGGTATAAAGTCTTTAGGTTTATTCTGTTTAGAGTTTACTGAGCTCCATCAGTCAGTGGCCTTGTGTTTTTCACCAAATTTGAGAAGTTTCTGGCCTTTGTGTTCTTAATTTTTTTTTTTTTAGCATGCATCATTTTCCTCTTATTTGGCATTCCAATGAAACAAATATTAGGTCTTTTTAAAATCATCCTACATGTCTCCAAGGCTATATCGTTTTATTTTTTCAGTCTTTCTTTCCTCTCTGATTTCCACATTGAATAATTTTTATTGATTTATCTTTAAGTTGACTGGCTTTTCTGATATCTCTATTCTGCTATTCAACATATTCAGTAAGCTTTTAAAAAAATGTTGGTAACTGTATTGATCAGTTCTAAAACTTTCATAACTTATTCTTTACATCTTCTATTTCTTTGCTGCAACATTTTATTATTCCATTGGTTTCAAAAGTGTGGTCAATTGCTTGCTGAAGCTTTTTAATAATAACTGCTTTGCAGTATTTGTCAGATAATTGTAGAATCTTTGTCATCTAAATGTTGGCATCTATTGATTATATTTCTCATGCAATTTGAGATTTTCCTGGTTCATATGTTGAGTAATTTTGGATTTTATTCTTGAAATTTTGAGTAGAATATCATGATACTTGTTTAAAACCTATAAAGAATGTTAATATTTTTTGCTTTTCTAGGCAGTTGACCTGGTTAGATTCGGGGGGCAATTTCCAACCCACCTTCTATAGGCTGTTGTTACAATGTCAGTTCACTTTCAAAGCCATTGAAATGGTATTCAGATCTCTCCTTCATGTGCACTGCCCAATCTAAGACCTGTTAATTCAGTTCGCAAAGTCTTTGGTATTTGGCTACGATCAAATCCATGCATGCATAGCCTCGGGGTGGGTCCGGGAATTCACAAATAGCTTGCTGGGGTTGTTTTTCTGATTTCCTCTGTCTGAGAAATCTCCCTGATACTTTCCATATCCTTAGAGCTCCTCTTTTTTTTTCTTTTTTTTTTATTATTGTACTTTAAGTTCTAGGGTACATGTGCACAACGTGCAGGTTTGTCACATATGTATACATGTGCCATGTTCGTGTGCTGCATCCATTAACTCGTCATTTACATTAGGTATGTCTCCTAATGCTATCCCTCCCCACTCCCCCCACCCCACGACAGGCCCTGGTGTGTGATGTTCCCCTTCCTGTGTCTAAGTGTTCTCATTGTTCAATTCCCACCTATGAGAGAAAATTTTTGCAATCTACTCATCTGACAAAGGGCTAATATCCAGAATCTACAAGGAACTCAAACAAATTTACAAGAAAAAAACAAACAACCCCATCAAAAATTGGGCAAAGGATATGAACAGATACTTCTCAAAAGAAGACATTTATGCAGCCAACAGACACATGAAAAAATGCTCATCATCACTGGCCATCAGAGAAATGCAAATCAAAACCACAATGAGATACCATCTCACACTAGTTAGAATGGTGATCATTAAAAAGTCAGGAAACAACAGGTTCTGGAGAGGATGTGGAGAAATAGGAACACTTTTACACTGTTGCTGGGACTGTAAACTAGTTCAGCCATTGTGGAAGTCAGTGTGGCAATTCCTCAAGGATCTAGAACTAAAAATATCACTTGATCCAGCCATCCCATTACTGGGTATATACCCAAAGGATTATAAATCATGCTGCTATAAAGACACATGGACACGTATGTTTATTGCAGCACTATTCACAATAGCAAAGACTTGGAACCAACCCAAATGTCCATCAGTGATAGACTGGATTAAGAAAATGTGGCACATATACACCATGGAATACTATGCAGCCATAAAAGTTGATGAGTTCATGTCCTTTGTAGGGACATGGATGAAGCTGGAAATGATCATTCTCAGCAAACTATCACAAGGACAAAGAGCTCCTCTTTTTTTGGTGCTCTTGTGGGAAAGCTAGGGCTATAGTTTTTCCATCTATGACAAGCTTTTACAACTGCACCTACATATGGGGCAAGAACAAGGAGAACAATGAGAGAAAACCATGCAAAATATATGGGCCCCTACCCTCTTGGAACCACAGCTCAAGTGAATGGTGATGGGTGTTCCCTCCCCTTAGAGTTTTGGCTCCTGTGGGTTTCTATGACCTTCCACTGCCACTGCCACTGTGTGATTGTGTGGGAAGTGAAAAACCAGAAAAAGAAAAAACATTAGGGGGGATTTCTACATTCTCTATTTATGAATTATTATTTGTCTTTCCCTACATCTTGAGTCAGAAATAGTTTTCCCTGGTGTTCTCTCTGTCTGCACTTTGATGTCCACTTCTGGATTTCTAGTACATTGAGTTTAGTCTGGGGGACACTGGGGTACTGGGTAAAATAATAAGCCTATTGCTGCTTCATGATACTCATAATTCTGGTCTTCTTCCCAAATATGCCTGCTGCCATTTACTTTTCAACATTCTGAAATTGTTGCTGCATGCATCCTATCTAGGTTTTATAGGCGTATTCATTAGGAGAAACAGGGTAGAATGTGTTTACCCCATCTTTAGGAACTGAAAGATATGTCAGTTTCACGTAGTTCTTTTCATTGTCTCAGTTTGTTTTCTTTATTTTCTGTGGCTTATTTATTTTCTGTTATTTCTCCCATTTAGAATGAAGCTCCATGAGTCCAATGACTGTCTATCATTTCACCACTGTATTCTTATAGCCTACGAAAGTGCCTGGCACATAATTTTAATGTAATGAATATTTGTTGAATGATCAAATAAATAAAAGTAGGCTGTGAGTTGGTCCTTAAAGTGTGACATTACAGTGTTGAACAGGTGTAGAGAAAGGAGTTTCCAGTCATTTGGGCAGTGGATAAGCAGCAAGCGATGGCATGGGGGTGGGGGGTTGGGCAGGAATCATTTTGAAGGATAGGAATCAATTAGTTTGTCTGAAGCAGCGGGATCATGTAGTAGAGGTACTGGTAGTATACAATGAGAATAGAAAGATAGATTGAGTCTAACCTAAGTTGGGACTTTAATAAACAAGCAAGAGTGATTATATTTTATCCTGTGGGCAATAGGGAAGTGCTAAATGTTTTCAAACAGTTAAGTCGTATGAAAAAAACTGCAGTTTAGAACAATTGCTGTCGCAAGACAGGGAAGAGAATGAAGGCAAGGGGGCTTGTCAGAGACTAGATACATTGGGATGGTGATTTAAGATCATAAATCAAAAAGTAGTAGTAGAAATGGAGAAGAAATTTCTAACATATAAACAAAGCCCCTATTGGTTGATTGATATAGTCAGAATGGAGAGTACAATTCAAGAAAATACCAGGACCTTTGTCAAGAAGAAAAGGCAGGTTTCTTCAAAGAATACAGAGAATACCAAGACTTTATCAATGCTTTTCCCTGCAAAGTAAAATTCCACTTCTAAACTTTTAAAGATAGAATGTGACAGAACACTTCTCTATCTCCATTTCTGTTCCTTGGCCTCCGAAGCCTTATTGTTCCATGGGCTCTGACCTTTCTTTAGTTGCCTGGCATCCAGGCAAGTTCTCAGCTGTCAAATTTTTATCCAGGTGGCCTCCATAAATATCTCAACAGAATTTATTTTCTTTAATTTTCTTTGGCCTTACTTGAGAATTTGCTGATTGGAAGACTGTTTGGGGCCAGTATGCTCAAAGATGGATAGCCACATCTGCAAGCCATTTGGATTAATTATTACACCTGTGTCATAAAACCTGCATTAATAAAGAGGTGACAAGGAGACTCATACTGCAGCTTAGACAGGACCGTCACTCCTTCCAAATTTTCCATCCCTATCACTGGCACGCCACCATCTTACTCTCCTGGCAGACCACGTTGGAGTATTCCAGGTTTCTTCCTCTAGCACTCCCATGACTATTGTGTATCCTTCTAATTCTTCATCTCAAGTACCTTTTGGAGCCATCCTTCCCTACCACTTTTTAGTCAATATTCTAGTCTGAGCCTTCTCTAATCACATGACACCTAGAATATTACAAAATTACAAAATCATCCCTCTTGCCAGCTGCCTGCACCTTCTGACTGCCCTTTACATAGTAGAAAGGGTCTTATTTCTCAAACATTTTGATCAAATTATAATCCAATGCTTTGACTGGTAAGAATGTATCTCTCATCTTTGATCTATTAATGGGCTCTCAGAAATTTACATAGTTTTCTGTTGTCTTTACTTAATCAGATGCAAATTCTTCATGCTGGTCTTTAAGGCTGTCCACTAATGTCTCCCAGTATTGTTGTTCTTATTTATGACTGATCTTTGACCTATAATTACTTTCTATTCTAGCCAAGCAAATCTACTTTTTCTCATGTGCACAAATGTTTGATTCTTGGACTGGCTGCTTAAAAACCTAACTGCACAAAATACCTCTAAATATTCTTCTCGTTTTCTTTCTGCCAAGTTGCCCTGAAAAATTCTTTCCAGGAGTCATCCCTGACACAGCCTTCAGACCCTAGTATATGGAATCTGTATTAACAAGAGATCTATAGCCTAATGGGAAGCTGTTGAGAATACAATGCATGTAAACCCAGAGTCAGCACTGAAAATGAAGAAAGGAAATAGCTTTTGTACCTTTAGCCTAGGCTGATGCTGATGAAAAAGAACTAGTTCTCGTAATGTATAAGGCCTTGGCAGAAGTTTTTATTACGTTGCAGAAATATTTGACACACTTGGGGAAGTGAAGGATAAAGCAGACACTGGCCTAGGCAGTCAGATCTGGAAAATCAACTATGGCAATAAAGGAGATGACAGATGTTGCAACCTCATATCCCTTATACAAAAAAAAAAAAAAAAATCATTAATAAGAAATAGGTGGCCTGGTTGAAGCAGAGAGGAAGAAAGGGTATCAATGTGCCAAATGTAATTTCTTTCAATTATTTGCCCCCTCAATGTATTTAAACTATTAAAGTACAACCATTAAGGTACAGTTGTAGAGAGTAATCATGAAGCTTCATTTCATTTTGAGGTTGGGAATAGATAACTTAAAAACAAATTTTATAGGGGGATACAGAAGCTCTGCTTTCCTTTCTCTTTATATATTTTAGTAGAATGATTCAGTAGATTTAAGTAGGATAGACCTAAATAACTTGACATTCTTATGATAGAGGAGAATGTCTCCTCTATAGATGAGGAGAAAATTACAGTTCTGGTCAATTCTCCAGTTTCTATTGAGCAATCACTTTTTTTCCCTCTCCTCTCATATAGTTTCTTCTTTTTTGCTTTTACATCTCTGTCTTCTCTTTCTCAAACTCCTTCTTCGTTCTATTTTCTCCTTTCTTTTCTGAACCACATTGTTTTGAAATGTAAAAGCAAAGAAAAATCATTAATCACTCTGCAGGATGCAGTGCTTAGATGGCTGTAGTTGCTGAAGGAGATCTGTTTAGCATCAGCTGATTTTTCATTTCCTTTCCGTGGGACAGTGTACTGCTCTGTGTCCCTGAGGCCAGGCAACATGAATACAGGTATTGAGTGTTCAAGAAGAAACAATTAAGACCAAGTGCTGGGGATACAATAGCATTTAAATTAATCTAATACCTAGACTGGAGTCCTTAAGCCCCTCCTTTGCTTTCTCTGCCTTAAAGATTCATATTTCTTAGGCTAGACATTTGTCAGTATAACACTGAATTCTCTGATGGGCAATTTCTTCTCTCCTTATTTATTCTACTCCTCAGTTGAAAAAAAAAGATCGTCTAATGCCCTATAGATTATTTATGAGAATTTGACAGCTGTAGAATTATCTAGCCTTGAAATGAAAATTATGTGAGACACTGATCCTCTATTCAGAAAAAAATTAGAAAAATCTAGTCAATTTTGAATTTTTGTGTATAAGGGCGAAAAGGGATATCAGCAATATTTAATCAACTCCCCTCATCTTATAGGTCATACATAGAAAATAAAAGCAATAACAAGAAGTACTTATTGAACTCAGATTAGGCACAGTGGAAGAAAAAAGTAAGAGACTTTAAATATACATGTGAAGAAGTCACTCAGAACATAGTATGGAGAGTTAGGGGTAGAAAAATATCAAAGACAGGTTAAGAGATATAGAGAGTAAAATGAAAAAATCAGGTTTGCAGCTGATAAGCATTTCAGAGGGAGAGATTATGGAGAATGGGGGAGGGGCAATTTCCATATAATTGATAAGGATTTTCCAGAATTGAAGAAATCTGTGTGTTCTCAGACTGAAGAAGTACATGAGACAAAGACAAAAAAAAATAAATAAACAGTTAAGTATATTGTAATGAAAGTCTATTTTAATAAAATACTAGTGTTCTGGAATAAAATTTTAAGAACAATATGAGGATAAAGAAAAAATAGCCTAACAAAAGACATCTCAATAGATGAAAAATAGAGGACTGATTTTTCGCAAAATAGGGAAAAGGAAGGACAGAAGACTCTAGAATACTCTCTTCTCAAAAGGCAAAAAGAAAATAATTTACAACCTAGAAATCTGTAAACAGACAAATCAGTTTTCAAGAATGAGGGTGAAATAAAGAATGTTTTGGATGAAGACAATATATTTTTATAACTTACTATCTCTCACTGAATAAACTATTAAAAACCCATATCAGAAATAACTAAATTGAACAAGAAGGATGAAATAAGATGGTGGAAGTAACAATAAGTAAGAAATTACTAAACTAAGCCATGCCCAGTGTTCTTTGCCTATAAAACCAGTTACCTGGGAAGCTGAGGAGGGAGGATTTGCCAGCCCGGACAACGGAGTAAGATCCAATCCCTGAAAAGCAAATCACTAAACTAAGCTTTTGACAGAAGTTAGAATCAACTGACACAAATAATTATTAATGTTTTCAAAATTAATTAAATAAACATGGAAGATTAACCTTAGGTTTTCTTAACTCATGGGTACACGTTAAAAATTTAAAGTTAACCATTAAAGAATGAATAATCTATAAAGATATAGATTATATCTATGTATTCCAAACAAGCAGGTCAAATCAATAAACATAGGAAAAGATAAAAAATAAAAAGCAACAAAGAAAAAGTATAATGATAGAAAAAAATACATGAAATAAGATATTAAAAACACAACCAAATAGGCTTCTGCTTGTGGAAAGGACGTAGTTGACACTATCAGATCACTACTGCCAGTACAGGAACTAGAAAAGATTTCTTATAAAAATCAATTTTTTTAAATCAAGGAGACATGAAAGCAACAAAAAGTAGTTGAAATAAAATCCCAGACAGCAATTTCTAGGTGAGATGACAATCACCTGCCATGTTCTTCTTTAAGGGAGTAATATCATTTTCAAGTGAGAATGGAAAATATGGCTTAGCCTCGGCTCAGCAACTCTACTGAGGGAAAAAGAAAAGAATGAAACTTTAGATAGGAATGTAAAGGATTGAAATGCATAGCCACTTTTTCCAGCAGTATATTTGCTGAGTTCTAAGGATGCAGAGGGAGCTAGGCTGGGCTGAAAACTTTCAAAAATCAGAGTAAACTCTCTGTCACCTTGGAGGACTTAGGAGATAAAATCCCATCAGAGTTGGAGAGTCAAAATAATTGCTATATTTAGAAGCTGCATGGAACAGAAAGCTAAAAAGATAAGTTCGAAAACTCTTTATGACAAGACTGAATCTTACATAGTATTTTAGGACTTGATAGATTGTCATTCAAAAGCTTCAGAGGGTCACAAATGAGGAATGGAAACAAAGCAGAGATAGTCTAGTCTTACTAAAACCACAAATTAATAACAGAATTGAGGTCACCATACTCTCACCTTAACCTATCTAACGAACAAAAGAAGGAATTATTTTGGGGGAATAAGTATTATCATCTGCAATCTACAGTCTCTATAGTCTTTTACATACAAGATCCACAATACAATTAAAAAATATGAGTCATATTAAGAGGCATGACAATGTGAACAATGATTGAGAGAAAACAAAAGACTGGAAATACATTTGTTCATGATACAGATATTGGAGTTAGCAGAGGATGCTAAAACAACCAATATAAATATTTAAAAGAAAATAAAGGAAAAGATGAAAAAAATGTAGACTCTGAACAAAAAATGAAATTTGAAGAATAATCAAGTAGACATTCTAAAACTAGAATTATAATATCTGAAATTAAAATCTTGGTAGTTGGAATTTTACAGTACACTGGACACAGCAGAGGAGAGGATTATTGAACTCAAGGACTGATCAATAGACAAAAATTGAACTACACAGAGAAAACTAGAAAAGAACATAAGAAATATATGAAGCAGTGAGATAGTCTACTATGTATGCCTAAGATCACAGGATAAGAAGAGAGAGAGAGAGAGAGGGAGTAAAAGCAATATTTGAAGAGATAATACTTGAGAATGCTGAAGAGCTGATGAAGGACACCAACTCGCAAATCCAAGAATTCATGAAATCCCAATGACAGTAAATACAAGTAAAAGTACTGTAGGCATACCAGAGTCACACAATGAAAACTAAAGACAAAGAAGAAGTCTCAGAAGCAGCCAGCAATGGAATTGGGTAGTGGGGGAACACTTTAAAGAATTAACAATGCAACTGGTGATTAAATTTTCAGCAGAAACTATAGCCAGAAGACAAATAAATGACATTAATAAAATAAATAGAAAAAAACAAAATAGAAAAAAAATTAATCTATATTTGTATACTTAGAGACAGTATCTTCTAAAAATGAAGGCAAAATTAAGATGTTTGCAAATAAACAAAAGCTAAAATAATTGGTTGCCAGCATACCTACCCTAAAGGAATTTTTTTTTTCAGGCTAAAGAAATTATCCTAGAATAAAAAATAGATCTACAAGAGGAAATGAAGAGCACCTGGAATGATAAATATATAGGTAAATACAAAATAACATCGACTGCATAATACAGCATTAATAGCATCATCTTCTGGGGTATATAATAAATATAAAAGCAAAAATGTGACCACTCTAGCACAAAGTCCAAGCTTGGGGAGAGAGGACTAGTAGAATTCAACAACTATAAAATTGTAAACTTCTTGCGTTATTCATAAATTGCTAAATTTCTAAGTTAAGGTGGATTATCATATGATATATGAGAAGTACATTGTAATCACTTGGGTAACTACTAAAGGAATAATTCGAAACTGTATAACTGAAAAGCTAACAGAGAGATAAAATGAGGCCAGGTGTGGTGGCTCATGCCTGTAACCCTAGCACTTCAGGAGGTTGTGGCAAGTGGATCACTTGAGATCAGGAGTTTGAGACCAGCCTGGCCAATATGATGAAACCCTGTCTCTACTGAAAATATTAAAATGTTAGCTGGCAGTGGTGGCTCATGCCTGTAGTCCCAGCTACCTGGGAAGCTGAGGCAAGAGAATTGCTTGAACCTGGGAGGCAGAGGTTGCTGTGAGCTAAGGTCATGCCACTGCATTTCAGCCTGGGTGACAGAGCAATACTCCATCTCTAAATAAATAAATAGAAATAAAAATATCTACTTAATTCAAAAACAAGCAGGTATAGGAGAATAAATGGACAAATGGAAAAAAACCCAAAATATTATATTTGAATAGAACTTTTATTATTAATTACATAAAGTGTAAGTAGACCAAATACCTCAATTAAAATTCAAAGATTGTCAGATTGGATTTAAATATTAGAAGGACAAAGTTTGGCTGATTGTGAAGAATGGAAAAGGATATTACTGTAGTTGATGTTGCTAGGAAAGACAAAGATGGACATTTCATAATGAAATTAGGATTAATACAATAGGAAGATATAACAATCCTAAATTTATGTGCATCTGATAATACACCATCAAAAATATGTAAAGCAAATATTGACAAAACTGAAAAAAGAGACAGATCCATAGTTATAGTTAGAATTTAATGCATCTATCTCAATAATTGACAGAACAAACAAGAAAGAAAAAAGTTAGTAAGGATATAGAATATTTGAACAACAAAATCAAGCAAATTAACTTAATTTATGTATATATAGGACACTCTACTCAAACACATTAGAATGCACATTCTTTTCAAGGCACAGGGAGCATTTAATAAAATAGACCACACATTAGCACACACAGTAGATATCAACACACAAACTTAAAAAAATTGAAAGCGTATAGCCACTTCAAGTGGTGTTAAATTAGAACTCATTAAAAGATATATAACTAGAAAATCTCCAAAATTTTGGAAATTAAGCAACAGACTTCTAAGTAACACATATATGGATCAAAAAAGGAATCAAAATTAAAATTAGTATATATTTTGAATTGAATAATAATGAAAATATGACACCAAAAATTGTGGATTACAGTTAAAGTAGTACTTAGAGTAAAATTTACAGCTTTAAACACATATATTAAAAAATAAGAAAGGTTGAAAGTCAATAATTTAAACTTCTAACTTAGGAAGCCAGGAAAAGAAGAGAAAATCAACATTTAAAAAGTAGAAAGAAGAAAATAAAAATAAGAGTTGAACTAAACAAAATAGAAGGTAAATATACAATAAAAATCAACAAAGCTAACTTTTTTAAGAAAAGTTTAATTTTTAAACCACTAGAAAGACTCACAAAGGGAAAAAAATATTAAATGACTCATACCAGGAATGGACTAGTGAACTATTCCAAACATTGAGGAAAGAATATGAATCTTAAATACGTTTTTTTAGAAGATGGAGAGAAGTAAACACTTCTCAATATTGTATTAGGCAAATGTATTCTTGGTATCAAAATATAACAAGGGCTTTACAAGAAAGGAAAGTTAAAAGCCAATATCACTCTTAAGCATAGATACAAAAATCCTAAACATGATATTGGCAAATCAAATCCACCAATATATAAGTGGCATAATATATTACGACTAAGTGGGTTTCTTTGCCCAGGTCTGGATTGAAAAATCAACCAATATCATCCACCACATTATCTGGTTTGGCTCTGTGTCCCCACCCAAATCTAATATTGAATTATGATCTTCACTGTTGGAGGAAGGGCCTGATGGGAGGTGATTGGATAACAGGGGTGGATTTCCCCCTTGCTGTTCTCATGGCAGCAAGAGTTCTTTATAGCAGTGTGAGAATGGCCTAATAAAGAAAATTGGTACCAGAGAAGTGGGACATTGCTGTAAAGACACTGGAAAATATGGAAGCAGCTTTGGAACTGGGTAATGGGAAGAGTTGAAATAGTTTTGAGGGCTCAGAAAAGACAGAGATGAAGGAGAATTTAGAACTTCCTAGTGCTGATGGTGATACGGATAGTGAAGTCCAGGCTGAGGTGGCCTCACATGGAGATAAGGAACTTACTGGGAACGGGAGCAAAGGTTACTCTTGCTATGCTTTAGCAAAGAGACTGGTGGCATTATGCCCCTGCTCTAGAGATCTGTGGAACTTTGAACTTGAGAGAAATGATTTAGGGTATCTGGTGAAAGAAATTTCTAAGGAGCAAAGCATTCAAGATGTGCCCTGGCTGCTTCTAAAAGCCTACATTCATTTGCTAAACAAAGAAATGACCTGATACTAGAAATTATATTTAAAAGGGAAGGAGAACATAAAAGTTTGGAAACTTTGCAGCCTGACAACGCAGTAGATAAAAACAATTTATTTTCTGGGGAGGAATTCGAGCCAGCTGCATAAATTTGCATAAATAAAGAAGAGCTGATTGTTAATAGCCAAGACAATGGGGAAATGGCCTCCAGGGCATTGCACAGACCTTGGCAATATCCCCTCCCATCACAGGCCTGGGGGTGTAGGAGGGGAAAATGGTTTCCTGGGCCAGGCCCAGGGCCCTGCTGCTCTGTGCAGCCTCAGGACATGGTACCCTCCATCCCAGCTGCTCCAGCTCCAGTCACAGCTAAAAGAGGACAAGGTATGCTCAAGCCATTGTTTCAGAGGGTACAAGCTACAAGCCTTTGTGACTTCCATGTGGTGTTGGGCCTGCAGGTATGCAGAAGACAAGAGTTGAGGCTTTGGAATCTCCGCCTAGATTTCAGAGGATGTATGGAAACACCTGAATGTCCAGGCAGATGTCTGTTGCAGGGGCAGAGCTATCATGGAGAACCTCTACTAGGGCAGTTCAGAGGGAAAATGTGGGGTCTGGGCCCCCAAACAGAGTCTCTACTGGGGCACTACCTAGTGGAGCTGTGGGAAGAGGGCCACCGTCCTCCAAACCCCAGAATGGTAGCTCCACCGGTAGCTTGCACTGTGCACCTGTAAAAGCCGCAGGCACTCAACTTGACATGCGAAAGCAGCTGCAGAGTGTGTACCCTGCAGAGCCACAGAGGCAGAGCTACCCAAGGCCTTGGGACCCTGCCCCTTGCATCAGCATGTCCTAGATGTGAGACATGGAGTCAAAGGATATTATTTTGGAGCTTTAAAACTTGATGACTGACCTGCTGGGTTTTGGACTTGCATGGGGCCTATAACCCCTTTGTTTTGGCCAATTTCTCCCTTTTGGAATGGGAGCATTTATGCAATGCCTGTACCCCCATTGTATCTTGAAAGTAACTAACTTGTTTTTGATTTTACAGGCTCATAGGCAGAAAGGACTTACCTTGTTTCAGATGAGACTTTGGACTTGGGCTTTTGGGTTAATGCTAGGATGAGTTAAGACTTTGGGGGATTGTTAGGAAGGCATGATTGCATTTTGAAATGTGAGAAGAACATGAGATTTGGGAGAGTTCAGAGGTGGAATGATATGGTTTGGCTCTGTGTCCCCACCCAAATCTCATGTTGAATTGTAATTCCCAATGTTGGGGAAGGCATCTGGTAGAAGGTGGTTGGATCATGGGAGCAGATTTTTCTCTTGCTGTTCCCATGACAGGGAGTAAGTTCTGATGAGATCTGGTTGTTTAAAAGTGTATGGAACCTTCCCCTTCACTCTTTATCCTGCTCTGCCATGACAAGACATGCTTGCTTCCCCTTCAACTTCTGCCTTAATTGTAAGTTTCCTGAGGCCTCACAGCCATGCTTCCTGTACAGTCTGTGGAACTGTGAGTCAATTAAACTTCTTTCCTTCATAAATTACCCAGTCTCAGGCAGTTCTTTATATAATAGTGTGAGAATGGAATAATACACCATATTAACAGAATAAAGCTGGGGAAAACTTGTTTATCTTAATAGATGCAAAGCTTTTGATGAAACTCAGCACATATATATGATATAAATTATCAGCAAACTAGGAATAGAAGAGAACTTCCTTAATCTAATAAAAACCACCTACAAAAAGCCTACAGATAGTATACTCAATGTTCTAACATTGGAAATGTTGAACATGTTCCCTTTGAGGTCAGAAACAAAGCAAAGATATTTGTTTTTACCACTTCTATTAACTATTGTCCTCCAGTGCAATAAGAGAAGGAAAAGAAATAAAAGGCATAAACATTGGAAGGAAAAAAGTCAAACTGTTTTATTAATAATCATATTGTTTTGTAAAATAAAAAATCATGAGAATCTACATTTTTTTTTCTTTTGAGACAGAGTCTTGCTCTGTCGCCCAGGCTGGAGTGCAGTGGCATGATCTTGCTCACTGCAACCTCTGTCTCCTGGTTTCAAGCAATGCTGCTGTCTCACCCTCCGGAGTACCTAGGATTACAGATGAGTGCCACAACACCTGCTAATTTTTGTATTTTTAGTAGAGATGGGGTTTTGCCATGTTGTCCAGGGTGGCCACAAACTCCTGACCTCAGGTGATCCACCTGTCTCGGCCTTCCAAAGTGCTCGGATTACAGGCATGAGCCACCACACACAGCCAGAATCTACAATTTGAATTAATAAATTATCAAAGTCATTATTACTAAATTAACTCATGCAAGATAAATATATTAAAATAAATTGTATTTACATATATTAGCAAAAAATTGAAAATGAATTACAAAATATTCAAAATAGCTTCAAAAATTGTGACTATGAGGTATAAAGCTAACAAAACATTGCTGAGAAAATTGAGAACAAATACCCTGTTTTTATGGTTTGGAAGACCCGTGTTGTTATAAATTCTCACCAAATTTGTCTATAACCAAAATCTATTTATTTGAAAAGATTAATAACATTAATAAACTGTTACCACAGTTGATCAAGAAAAAATATATAGTGGAATACATTTATAATTACAAAAAATGTAAATTGCTCAAACTCACCCAGACAGAGGTTTTTAAATAGGATTAAAAACAAGGCCAGGTGCAGTGACTCACACCTGTAATCCCAGCACTTTGGGAGGCCAAGGCGGGCAGATCATGAGGTCAGGAGATCGAGACTGTCCTGGCTAACACGGTGAAACCCCGTCTCTATAAAAATACAAAAAAATTAGCTGGGCATGGTGGTGGGCACCTGTAGTCCCAGCTACTCGGGAGGCTGAGGCAGGAGAATGGTGTGAACCTGGGAGGCAGAGCTTGCAGTGAGCCCAGATCACACCACTGCACTCCAGCCTGGGCGACAGAGCGAGACTCTGTCTCAACAAACAAACAAACAAACAAACAAACAAACAAAAACAAACAGGCATATTTTGTTTACTTGAGATTAACTCAAACACAATGACACAAAAAATGAGTTGTTTACCAGAAGAGGAAATCCAAATGGCTAATAAACATATGGAAGGTTGTGCAATCTCATTGTTAATCAAGGAAGTACAAATTATAATGATGATGAAACCCTACCTCCCAAGTGATTCCATAAGTGTTGGTGAGAATGTGGAGAAAAGGAAGTTCTATACATAACTAACGGAGATATAAATTTTCAAAGCCATACGTCAATACATAATAAACTGAAATTATGCATATCTACAGCTCAGAACTTACATTGGCATATTGGCAAAAACTCTCTCATTTGGGCACCAGAAAGTATGTTTGAAGATACTGCTTCATTTCTTGTAATACCTGAAAATTGGAAACAATGTCAATGATCAGAAATATACATATGTTTTAGCATATTCAGAGTGATCCTACATCCTGGGACAGTCTTAATTTATGCCTATTATATTGATATAATTATACCAAGTTTAGTTTCAAAAGACATCTTCATTGGATAATAAACTATATATGCATTCTAGATATATTCATTTACTGAAGTTCTAAATAGTTATATAAATGATTGAAATAAATGTGTTAGTATAATATGTGTTAACCAAAAAAAAATCTGGAAAAAAACATAATGATAAGTGAAGAAAGTCAAGTTGCAAATAGATATATACCCCATTGATAATATTTATGTATAATTTGCAACAAAAAGCAATACTACAAATATAAGCATATACATATGTAGAATATTACATATATGTGTGTATGTATATATATATATATATATATATATATATATATATATATATATATATACATATGTATGCACACCTGTGCCAGTAAAGTTTTATTTTTAAAAAAGATCTGAGATCAAAAAGGTAAAAGGATAACATTTGTTAAGTCAGGCATTTATTATGCTGTTGAATTTTCCATAATTTCAAAAATAATTAAAATTATATTTTAAAAACATTTTTAAAATGTTGGTGGTCACATCCATCTTTGGTACTTTAGAAAATGTTTTTGCCATGGAAAGGAGGTTTGGCTGGGTGAGCTTTAAGGTATCTTTAAATTGAATTACTTTAGACACTCAAAGAATTGGTAGCAATCCTGTTGACACTGCTTCAAAAGATAGGGAAAGAGAGAATCCTCCCTAAATCATTCTGTTAAGCCAGTATCACTCTAATATCGAAACCAGGAAAGGACATAACAAAATAAGAAAACTACAGACCAATATCCCTGATGAACATAGATGCAAAAATTTTCAACAAAATACTAACTAACCAAATTCAACAGCATATCAAAAGATAATCCACCATGATCAAGTGGGGTCTATGCCAGGGAGGCAGGGATGGTTTAACACACACAAGTCAACAAATGTGATACACCACATAAATAGAATTAAAAACAGAAATCACATGAATCATCTCAACAGATGCAAATAAAATCATTTGACAAAATTCAGCATCCATTTATGAATAAGACCCTCAGCAAAATCAGCATAGAAAGGACATACTTTAAGGTAATAAAAACCATCCATGACAAACCCACAGCCAACATTATATTGAACAGGGAAAAGTTGAAAGCATTCCACCTGAGAACTGGAACAAGACAAGGATGCCCACTTTCACCGCTTCTATTCAACATAGCAATGGAAGTCCTAACCAGAGTAATCAGACAAGAGAAAGAAATAAAAGGCATCCAAATCAGTAAAGACGAAGTCAAACTGTCACTGTTCACTGGTGATATAATTGTATACTTAAAGAAACCCTAAAAACTCATCCAAAAAGCTCCTAGAACTGAAAAATGAATTCAGTAAAGTTTCAGGATACAAAATCAATGTAGACAAATCAGCAGCACTGCTATAAACCAATAGCAACCAAGCTGAAAACCAATAAAAAACTCAACCCCTTTTACAATAGCTGCAAAAAACAAAAACAAAACAAAAACTTACAAATATACCTAACCAAGGAAATGAAAGATCTCTCCAAGGAAAACTACAAAACACTCCTGAAAGAAATCATATGCAACACAAACAAATGGAAACATATCCCATTTCACAATATTGTGAAAATGACCTTACTGCCAAAAGCAATCTACAAATTCAATGTAATTCCCATCAAAGTACTATTATTATTCTTCACAGAACGAGAAAAAAAAAAAAAAACCTCCCAAATATCATAAGGAGCCAAAAAAGAGCCAGCACAGCCAAACCAAGATTAAGCAAAAAGAACAAATCTGGAGGCATCATATTACCTGGCTTCACTTTTCACTTCACTTCAAACTATACTATAAGGCTTAGGCAAAGACTTTGTATTAGTCCATTTCACACTGCTGACAAAGACATACTGGGCAATTTACAAAATAAAGAGGTTTAATTGGACTCACAGTTCAACATGGCTAGGGAGGCCTCACAATCATGGTAGAAGGCAAGGAGGAGGAAGTCACATCTTATGAGCGTGGTGGCAGGCAAAGAGAGAGCTTATGCAGAGAAACTCTCATGTTTAAAACCATCAGATCTCATGAGACTCATTCACCATCACAGGAACAGCATGGGAAAGACCTGCCCCCATAAATCAATCACTTCCCCTGGCTTCCTCCCACAACATGTGGGAATTGTGGGAGTTACAATTCAAGATGAGTTATGGGTTGGGACACAGCTAAACCATATCATTCTGCCCCTGGCCCCTCCCAAATCTCATGTCCACACATTTCAAAACCAATCATGCCTTCCCAACAGTCCCCCAAAGTCTTAACTCATTTGAGCATCAACTGAAAAGTCCATAGTCTGATGTCTCATCTGAAACAAGGCAAGTCCCTTCTGCCTGCGAGCCTGTAAAATCAAAAACAAGTTGTTACTTCCTAGATACAATGGGGGTACAGGCATTGGGTAAATATAGCCATTGCAAAAGAAAGAAATTGGCCGAAACAAAGGGTTTACAGGTCCCATGCAAGTCCAAAATTCAGCAGGGCAGTAAAATCTTAAAGCTCAGCCAGGCACAGTGGCTCACACCTGTAATCCCCGCACTTTGGGAGGCCAAGGCGGGCAGATCATGAGGTCAGGAGATCGAGACCATCCTGGCTAACACGGTGAAACCCTGTCTCTACTAAAAATAAAAAAAATTAGCTGGGTGTGGTGGCGGGCACCTGTAGTCCCAGCTACTAGGGAGGCTGAGACAGGAGAATGGCATGAACCCAGGAGGCAGAGCTTGTAGTGAGCCGAGATCGTGCCACTGCACTCCAGCCTGGGTGACAGAGCAAGACTCTGTTTCAAAACAAAACAAAACAAAACAAACAAACAAAAATCTTAAAGCTCCAAAACGATCTCCTTTGACTCCATGTCTCAAATCCAGGTCTCCCTGATGCAAGAGATGGGTTCCCATGGTCTTGTGCAGCTCCACCCCTGTGGCTTTGCAGAGTATACCCTCCCTTCTGGTTGCTTTCATGGGTTGGTGTTGAGTGTCTAGCTTTTCCAGGCACATGGTGCAAGCTGTTAGTGGGTCTACCATTCTGGGGTCTGGAGGATGGTAGCCCTCTTCTCACAGCTCCACTAGGCAGTGTCCCAGCAGGGACCCAGTGTGGGGGCTCCAACCCCACATTTCCCTTCCACACTGCCCTAGCAGAGGTTCTCCATGAAAGCCCTGCTCCTACAGCAAACTTCTGCCTGGGCATCCAGGCATTTCCATACATCTTATGAAATCTAGATGGAGTTTCCCAAACCTCAATTTTTGACTTCTGTGCACTTGCAGGCTCAACACCATGTTGAAGCTGCCAAGGCTTGAGGATTGCAACCTCTGAAGCCATGGACTGAGCCCTACATTGGCTCCTTTCAGCCATGGCTGAAGCAGCTGAGATGCAGGGCACCAAGTCCCTGCGCTGCACACAAAAAGTGGACCTTGGGCCCAGCCCACAAAGCCACTTTTTCCTCCTAGACCTCTGATTCTCTGATGGGATGGGCTACTGTGAAGACCTCTGACATCCCCTGGATACATTTTCCCTCATTGTCTTGTGGATTAACATTAGGCTCCTCGTTACTTATGCAAATTTCTGCAGCTGGCTTGAATTTCTCCTCAGAAAATGGGATTTTCTTCTCTATCGCATTGTCCAGCTACAAATTTTATGAACTTTTATGCTCTGCTTCCCTTCTGAAACTGAATGCCTTTAACAGCACCCAAGTAACTTCTTAAATGCTTTTCTACTTAGAAATTTCTTCCACTAGATACTCTAAATCACCTCCCTCAAGTTGAAAGTTTCACAAATCTCTAGGGTAGGAACAAAATGCCACCAGACTCTTTGCTAAAACATAACAAGAGTCACCTTTGCTCCAGTTCCCAAGAAGTTCCTCATTTCCATCTGAGACCACCTCAGTGTGGACTTTATTGTCCATATCACTGTCAGCATTTTCAGCAAAGCCATTCAACTAGTCTCTAGGAAGGTCTAAATTTTCCCACATTTTCCTGTCTTCTTCTGAGCCCCCCAAACTGTTCCAACCTCTCTGCCTGTTACCCAGCTTCAAAGTCACTTCCACATTTTTGCTTATCTTTTCGGCAATGCCCCACTCTACTGGTACCAATTTACCGTATTAGTCCGTTTTCATGCTGCTGATAAAAACATACCTGAGACTGGGCAATTTACAAAAGAAAGAGATTTAATTGGACTCACAGTTCCACGTGACTTGGGAGGCCTCACAATCATGGTGGAAGGCAAGAAGGAGCAAGTCACATCTTATGTGGATGGCATCAGGCAAAGAGAGAGCTTGTGCAGGGAAACTTCCGTTTTTAAAACCATCAGATCTTGTGAGACTCACTCACTATCACAAGAACAGTGCAGGAAAGATCTGCCCCGTAATTCAATCACCTCCCACTGCGTTCATCCCAGGACATGTGGGAACTGTGGGAGTTACAATTCAAGAGGAGATATGGGTGGGGACACAGCCAAACCATATCAGACTTCATGAACAATAAAGTACAACAAAAACAAAGGTAAATAGATGTGACTTAATTAAATTAAAAAACTTCTGAACAGCAAAAGAAATAATCAGCAGAGTAACCAGACAACACACAGAGTGGGAGAAAATCTTCATAGTCTATATATCCAACAAAGGACTAATATCCAGAATATACAAGGAACTCAAACAAATCAGCAAGAAAAAAAACGAATAATCCCATCAAAATGTGGGATAAGGACATGAATAGACAATTCTCAAAAGAAGACATACAAATGGCCAACAAACATATGAAAAAATGCTCAACATCACTAATGATTAGGGAAATGCAAATCAAAACCGCAATGTGATACCACCTTACTTCTTCAGGAATGGCCATAATCAAAACAATTAAAAAATAATAGATGTTGGCATGGATGTGGTGAAAAGAGAACACTTTTACACTGCTGGTAGGAATGTAAACTAGTACAACCACTATGGAAAACAGTATGGAGATTCCTTAAGGCACTAAAAGTAGATCTATCATTTGATCCAGCAATCCCACTACTGGGTATCTACCCAGAGGCAAAGAAGCCATTATACAAAAAAGATACTTGCACATTCATGTTTATAGCAGAACAATTTACAATTGCAAAAATATGGAAGCAACCCAAATGTCAACCAATCAATGAATGGATAAAGAAAGTGTGGTATATATATACACACCATGGAATAATAGCCATAAGAAGGAATGAAACAATGGCTTTTGCAGCAACCTGGATGGAAGTGGTGACCATTATTCTAAGTGAAGTAACTCAGGAATGGAAAACCAAAAATTGTAATTTCTCACTTAAAAGTGGGAGCTAAGCTGTGAGGACTCACAGACATAAAAATGACATAGTGGTCTTCGGTACTCAGAGGAAAGGGTGGGAGGGGGGTGAGGGATAAAAGACTATACATTGGGTACAGTGGTGTACACCTTTTGGTGATGGGTGCACCAAAATCTCAGAAATCACCAATAAAGGACTTATCCATGTAACCAAACACTACATGTTCCCCAAAAATGTATTGAAGTAAAATAATAATAATAGAAATAATTACTCCAGTAATATAAAAGTCCTTTCTTCAGTTGAAGATGAATTTTTCTTCTTTGAGGTCATCCAACAGCCTAACTTTGAACAAGCCTATGCACTAACTAAAAAAGTGCTAGGTGTGTTGGTCTTGGATAGGTCTTAAGCTTGAAAAATGTTGCTTTAACCCTTTCCCGTTACCCAGTGCACAACAAAAACAGACTTCTGTGCTTGGTTAGATATGAGAACACTTTGATGTCTGGTATGATCTGACCAGTTGATAAAAGGAGGGGTAATTTTTACTAAGAAAAAAGTTCCATGTTATTACCCATCTGTTTGAGATGAAAAGTTTACGTCTAGGGAGTTCACAGGTAGGGTCGTGAGCCTTTGCATACATCATAAACCTGAGGATGACTTGGTGATGAGTAAGTTTGTTGCTGTGGCAGGTGGGGCCTCATTTTTTTTTAGTAAGATGCTTAACAGCTACACTCAACTTTTTTCTTCTTATTTATTCAGTTACTGCTTTTGATGGAATTTGGAAAAGGTAGAGGCTCCCTGAGCACAGTGAATGCATTGGCCTAGTCGTGGGCAAAAGGAAAAGATGTCTAGTGTGCTCCCTGACTGGGATTATGACAGGCCTGGCCAAATGCTGGTGTGAATCTGGGTCCACGTATGCTTCTAAAACCTGCATACAGTCCTGGTAAAGAAGGAAATCTGAGCCAGTGTTCCAGATCCCTCTTTTCTCAAGGGCATAAGATGTTTTCTCTAATGGAAAGCTTAGAATTATTAAAATGCCAGAGTTGAATATGACACTAAAGATAAACTCCATCTAATTAATGAATTATATCACATTTATACAGATCCAGTACCCCTCAGCTATCATAAATCAAAACTGCTTTTCCTTATTATCATTATTGTTGTCTCATTAAAAACCACACAGAACAAAAACACAGGAGATACTTTGCAATAAAGTTTTCCTGCATTGTTTGATAAAGTAAAAAGCAGGGCATATTTGGAGTCAGTTCTTTTTTGTATGTGTGGTAGAATTCAGCTGTGAATCTTTCTGGTCCCAGACTTTTCATTGTTGGAAGATTTTTTTTATTACTGAGACAATTTTACTATTACTGGTTTGCCCAGAATTTCCATTTCACTCTGCTGCAATCTTGGGAGCTTGTATGTTTCCAGGAATTTATCCATTTCCTCTAAGTTTTCTAGGTTTTCTAGTTTGTGTATGTAGAGATGCTCATAGTGATCTCTGATGATCTTTTGTATTTCTGTGGTATCAGTTGAAAAGTCACCTTTATAATTTCTGATTGTGCTTATTTGAATTTTCTCTCTTTTTTCTTCATTAATAAAGATAGCAATCTATCAATTTTGTTTATCCTTTTAAATAACTAATTTTTAATTTCATTAATCCTTTGTATGGTTTTTGGTCTCAATTTCATGGAGTTCTACTCTACTCTTTTTTTTTCTGCTAGCTTTGGGTTTGGATTGTTCTTGTTTTTCTAGTTTCTTGAGGTTCCATGTTAGGTTATTAATTTTGTGCTTTTCTCTTTTGATGTGGACATTTAACACTATAAACTTTCTTCTTAGCACTGCTTTTGCTGTATGCCAGAGGTTTTGGTATGTTGTGCCTCTTTTAATTAATTTCAAAAATTTTTAAATTTCTTTCTTAATTTCATTACTTATCCAAAGATCATTCAAGAGCAGATTGTTTAATTTCCATGCACTTGCATAGTTTTTTGAGAGTTCCTTTTGGTATTAATTTCTAGTTTTATTCCACTGTTATCTGAGAAGATACTTGATGTGATTTCAATTTTTAAAACATTTATTGAGACTTACATTGTCCCCAGCATATGGTCTTTATTGGGGAATGTTCCATAAGAAGAATGTAAACTTTGCAGTTGTTGGGGAAATGTTCTGTAAATGTCTGTTAGGTCCATTTGGTCATGAGTCCAATTTATGTCCACAGTTTCTTTGTTGATTTTTCTGCCTTGATGATCTGTTCAGTGTTGTCAGTGAAGTGTTGAAGTCCTTCACTATTATTATATTGCTCTTTATGTCTTTCATTAAGTCTAGTTTTTTGTTGTTTTTTTTTTTATAATTCTGGGTACTCTCATATTAGATGCATATTTGGACTGAAATATCTTCCCATTGAATTGATCCCTATATTATTATGTCAAACCTTCTTTGTGTTGTTTTTACTGTTATTGGTTTACAGTCTGTTTTGTCTGATATAAATATAGACACTCCTGCACAGTTTTGGTTTCTGTTTGTATGAAATATCTTTTTCCATCCCTTTCTTTCTTTCTCTTGGATCTGTAAATCTTTACTAGTTAGATAGGTTTCTTGTAAGCATCATATAGTAGGATCTTGTTTTTTATTGCACTGGTCTGTATCTTTTAAGTGGAGCATTTAGTTCATTTACATTCAAAGTTACTATTGTTATGTGAGGTTTTGTTCCCATTATAATGTTAATTGTTTCCTAGTTGCTTTCTAGTTGCAGTTGTGTAATTGGTTCATAAGACCTGTGATTTTATGCTTTTGTGTGTTGTTATGATGATGAGTATTGCCCTTTTGTTTTCATGCTTAAAACTCTGAGCATTTCTTGTAGAACCAGTTTAGTGGTGATAAATTTCCTTAGCATTTGCTTATCTGTGAAAGACTATTTCTCCTTCATTTATGAAGCTTCTTCATTTAGCAGGATACAAAATTCTTGGCTCACAGGTTTTTTCTTTGAAAAAAGTGAGAATAGGACCCCAGTCTCTTCTGGCTTGTAAGGTTTCTGCTGAGAATTCTGCTATTAGTCTGATAGGATTTCCTTTAGAGGTGATTAGACACTTCTCTCGTGCTACTTTTAAGATTTTTTTTTCATGTTGACTTTGGATAGTGTGATGGCTACATGCCTTGATGAAGTTCATTTTGCAAAGTATCTTCCACATGTTCTTTGATCTTCTTTTATCGTGAAGTCTAAATCTCTAGCAAGGCCACAGAAATTTTCCTGAATTATTCCCTGAAATAGGTTTTCCAAACTTTTTGTTTTTGTTTTTGTTTTCCCTTGGGAATACCTACTACTCATAGTTTTGCTCACTTTACATAATTCTATATTCCTTGAAGACTTTGTTCATTTTTTACATTATTTTTTCTTTATTTTCATCTTTAAACTTTAAAATTCTTTCTTCTGCATGGTCTAGTCTATTAATGCTTTCAACTGTGTTTTGTAATTCCTTCAGTGAATTTTTTATTTCCAGAAGTTCCATGAGAGTTTAAGTGTCTCTTTCTCTAGTAAATTTTTAATTCATATTTTGAATTGTTTTGCTGATTTCTTTGTGTTGATTTTCAACCTTCTTTCGGATCTTATTGAGCTTTCTTACAATTAGTATTTTGAATTCTTTATCTGTCATTTCAGAAGTTTTATTTTAGTTAGAATCCATTGCTAGAGAGCTAGTGTGATCCTTTAGGGGTGTTGAAATGGCCTGTTTTTTTTATACAGCCAGAGTTCTTATGCTAATTCCTTTTCACCTGGAGAAGCTGTCACTTCTTATTTTTGCATATACTTTTGTTTGAATGGGGCTTTTTCTTTTCACTCTTTGAGAGTGTGACTGCAGCATATGTTGGGTAGGTTCTTTGGCTTTGCTTCTGGGTGCTTTTAGGAGCTCAAGGCTCTGTATGAATTCTCTTATAAATAGCCTTAGTGGGGTGATTTTCTCAAATACTGGCTGTTTGTAAGTTGTAGTGGCAGTGTACTGGGTATGTGAGCAAGCTCACTGCCTCCTGCAGAGATGGAGAGCTTCTTAGGAAGCTTATCTAATTCCTCACTGGTGTGCACATCTGTCTGCAGGTATTGTATTTGGTTGTACAGTTCCACTTGCTGGCCAGTAGGTGGTGATTGTAGTAGAGGCAGCTGCAGTGGTAGCAGTGGGATTTATGCTTGGCCATTGTTAATCAGAAGAAATACTCTGATATCCTGGGTGATGAGTGGGGCTATGGGACTCCCTGGGATCCCCATCTGGTGTTCTACCACTGAGGCAGGTGGAGGGGGCAAAGCTGGATGTGGCTGAGTCAAGCAAGCCCTTGACCAGGCTCTCTAATAGCAGGTGCAAGCACTGACCCTGGCAGGGTTTGAACCTCTAATGGCAGGTGCAGGCACTGAACCTGGAAGGGTTCAGAGTTCAGGTCACTGGAGCAACTTTCCAGGGAGGGATGGAGGTGCTTCTGTCCTTCCGAAGAACTCCCATGGAGCATTGGGGGACATTCCTGGAATCCACAGCCCAGCAGATGGTAGTGGGACTCATCCAGTTACCATGCCCTCTACCAGATGGGTCTCTCTCCAGTGTCTGGCAGCAAGCAGCAGGCCAGAACAGCTAGCCCAGTTCTTAGCAGACTGCATTTAGATCATGAAGATGCCCCAGGCTGAAAGAATCCATGCCTAGGGGCAGAAAGTGTGGCTCTCAGGCTATACTCTTTCCAGTCTGGTCCATGAAGGGAGGGGTTGCCAGCTTTCATACAGCAGTGCAAACCATGCCACACTCTCCTCTCAGTTCTGACCATGAAAACATCTCTCTGCCTGATGTCAGTTCACATATCTCATCACCATACCTGTGGACAGTGTGCTTGAGTCCCAGGGGGATGGGCCTGGGCCAGCAGACTTGTTCTCAGGCCCCCTGGACTCAAGCACTGATTGTGATAGGGGCAGGCTGGTCCAGGATTAGCAGAATACTCAGGCAGTGTGGCTGCACTGCAGCCCTGCTGCCAGGAAGGGCAGGCCTCTCTCCATGGGAACAATCAAGTAGGCAGCTTTGGGGAAGACCAGTAGGCATGGGGCACGCGGTCCCAATGTGCCTCAATTTCACAGCAAGCTGCAACAACTGGCAGCAGAACCCATCCCCGGGATGTGTGTGAGCAACAGGCCTCCTCCCTCCCTCCCTGGCCTTATCTTTTATTTTCTCGTTGAATCCTTGCAATGACAACATAAGGCAGAATCTATAATTTGCTCCCATTATAGATGGTAAAACTGAGTCTTAGAGAGGTCAATTAACTTAGCCAAGATCATGCAACCAGGAAGAGGTAAAGTAGGGATTGGAATCCAGGCTTTTAACCATGACTAGTTTTAACCAATGCTGCTGCCTCCTCAGTTGGTACAGGAGGCTTACTAATGGTTTTTTAAATCTAAAATGCATTAATCCAGAAATGTTATGCCTATGTATAGGATAAATGGGAAAGTGTATGGAAAAATGACAAAAATGGGGGCCAAAATATATAGGATTTAAAATCTGCCTGCGTATAACTCAAACCACTCAGAGAAGGAAACACATCAGTACCTGATAATAGATGGGCTTATAATAAATATCCTTTTATTACTTTCTTTTATGGAAGGCTAGTCCAGACCCCACAAGACTTTAATGAGGACTGTGACACTTTACCAGTTATGTGACCTTGAGGAAGACAACCTCTCTGGGCCTCAATTTCTACCTTGGCAAAATCAGGGGGCTGGAGATAGTTACTTTTAAGTCCCTTTTAGCTGTTTCATCCAGTGACTTTATGATGTTAGGAATTTATTCCATTTCTGCCATATGAACTGTCTATTTTTAAGGCAGGCCTAGCTATGTAGCCCTTTGAGCTGACTAATCTAGTTTTGTGCCCGCTACTGTCCAGATCTTCCAGTTTCAATATCAGACGTGAATATAAGACTTACTTCCCTCATCTTTTTTTTGATACACATGAAATATCTCAGAAAACAAATGCCCTTTAATATAGGAATGGTGGGTCGGGTGTGGTGGTTCACGCCTGTAATCCCAGCACTTTGGGAGGCCGAGGAAGGTGGTTCATGAGATCAGGAGATCCAGACCATCCTGGCCAACATGGTGAAACCCCGTCTCTACCAAACAAATACGAAAAATTAGCCGAGCGTGGTGGTGCACGCCTGTATTCCCAGCTACTCAGGAGGCTGAGCCTTGGGAATCACTTGAACCTGGGAGGTGGAGGTTGCAGTGAGCCAAGATCACGCCACTGCACTGCAGCCTGGTGACAGAGCAAGACTCTGTGTAAAATAATAATAATGATGATGATGATAATAATAATAATATAGGAATGGTTGTAGACCCATATTATGAAATATTTAATATAAATATGAGGTATTTAACATAGGAAAATGGAATATTTGTGTATAACATATATATATATCCAATTTAATCTTTTATATATTTATGTGTTATAAATATGTATCATACATAGAGAGAGCAATTCATGATGAATTGTTACATGAAGAAAGTGTGTTGCAGATTAATATTTATAGTACAACTGATTTTTGTAAAGAAGCAAGGAAAGAATAAAGAAAATGATGAAGAAAGAGAGGCAGCAAAAGGCACAGAGCAAAAGAAAGTAAGAAACAATTATGTATGTGCATCTGTGTCTATATGTGTGGGTTTTTGTGACTAAGAACCTGTTAAGTTTGTCTTTATGTGTTTCTTTATAGCTTGACTTTTTACAATATGCACATATTTCTTTTGTAGTAAAATAAGACAAAAAGAAAAAAAAACTTAACTCCCAAGAAGACTTAGTTTCATATCCTTTCATGTCCTTTCCTGATTACTGCTCATCTTCCCCTCTCTTCCTGTCTTCTCCTCTCTTCCCCATAGAGAATCACTGCTTCCATATATTCATCACCAGCTAAGCAGAGTTTTAGTTTTACTTAATAACAGCAAAATAAAACGCCCCCCCCCATTTTTCAAAAAAGCACACTTTTATTTTATCGTGCTGTTTAATATGCTTTTTCAAAAAGTCCTATTACAGACTGCCTACTTTCCCCTGTCCCTGTTGAAAGCCCTCCTCAGGAGTGAACTCCCACTCCAGGAAAGCAGTTATCTGACATTTTATGTTGCTGGCAAGTTATCACTCTTAAAGCACTGGGATCACCTGTATGTTTACATATTTCAAAGGAAAATGTCTCTTTAACATTTTTAGAAGAATGTAAAACTATCTTTTTTAATGTTTGACACACAAGGAAGCTCTGGGAATGTTATTGCAATCCAAATCAAATTCTTTTGTGGTTCATGGAACAAAAGACAGGTGGGGGGAAAATAGAACAAAAAAAAAGCAGCTCATCATATTTTTTTCAACAATATTTTGATATGTTAAATCTGTGAGGGGCTGGCCGCAGTGGCTCACGCCTGTAATCTCAGCACTTTGGGAGGTCGAGGCGGGTGGATCACCTGATGTCAGGAGGTCTAGACCAGCCTGGCCAGCATGGTGAAACTCTGTCTCTATTAAAGAATACAAAAATTAGCCGGGCGTGGTGGCACGTGCCTGTAATCCCAGCTACTCAGGAGGCTGAGGCAGGAGAATCGCTTGAACCTGGGCTGATATTGCACTATTGCACTCCAGCCTGGGCAAGAAGAATGAAACTCCGTTTCAAAAAAAAAAAAAAAATCTGCAAGGAAATGAAGGACAATTTGATCAGAATGTTAGGATGTTAAAATTAAATGAGAACTTAGAAACCATTGAATTCAGTTCCTATATTTTACAAATAAAAAACATGAAGACCAGATAAGAGAAATTATTTGCACCAAGTCACACAATAATGTAATAGCAGTGTGGCGATTATGCCCTCCATTTCCTACCTCTCAATAATGAAGTGAACATTCTGGGCTTTGGATGCAGGTAGACCTGATTTGGAGTCTTAGACCTCCATTTAATAGTTATGTGACATTTTATTTACTCGTGTAAAATAAAAATGTGATATTTGTCTCATAGAATTATTGTGAAAATCAGATGGAATAGTTTATATAAATAGTACAATGTTTAGAGCATAGAAAGTGCACATAAAACATTAGGTAAAAATCTATTTTAATGCTCCACCTACTCTGTATATTTTGTTTGCATATTACCTACCTTTCTAGTGCATTTTATCTTGTTCTTACATTTGTGAGGCAAAATAAGGCCATCCAAAATTATCCCTTTATATCACTTAATATGGTTTGGCTCTGTGTCCCCACCCAAATCTCATGTTGAATTATAATTCCCAGTGTTGGTGGAGGACCTTGTAGTAAGTGATTGGATCATAGGGGTGGATTCACCCTTGCTGTTCTTGTGAAAATGAGTGGGTTCTCAGGGGATTTGATGTTTAAAAGTGTGTGGTGCTTTCCCCTTCACTTGCTTTCTCTCCTGCTGCCATGTTAAGATATGCTTGCTTCCCCTTTGCCCTTCTACTATGATTGTAAGTTTCCTGAGGCCTCCCAGCCATGGTTCCTATATAGCCTGTGGAACTGTGAGTCAGTTAAACCTCTTTTCTTCATAAATTACCCAATCTCAGGTAGCTCTTTGTAGCAGTGGGTGAACGGACTAATACACATTGTTCTGGTTTTCTCATGTTTTTCATGGCCCAGAAACTTTTATCCAATATAGTACTGGAAGTCCTAGCCAAGTAGTTAGGCAAGAAAAATTTTAAATAAAATAATCCAATTGGAAAGGAAGAAGCAAAATTATCTCTATTTGCAGAAGACATGATCTTATATATAGGACACTCTAAAGATTCCACAAGCAGTCCTGTTAGAACTAATAAATTCAGCAGAGTAGCAAGACACCAATCAACACACAAAATTTAGTTTCATTTCTATACACTAACAATGAACAATCTGAAAAAGAAATTAATAAAATTTTATTTACAGTAGCATCAAAAAGAATATAATACTTAGGAATTAATTTAACCAAGGAGGCAAAAGACTTGTACGATAAAAAGTATAAAACTGTACTAAGAGAAATTGAAGACATAAAATAAATGAAAATATATCTCATATTCATTGATTGAAAGACAATATTATAATATTGTCAGAATGTCAAGACTGCCCTGTCGGCAGTCTTATACAGATTTAATGCAATATTGATATACATATCAGCAACATTTTTTGATTAAATGAGATTAAAATAAACCCATCCCCAAAATTACGTAGAAACTTAAGGACCCCAAATAATCAAAACAATTTTGAAAAAAAAAAAAAAAGAACAAAGTGTAGGACTCTCACTTTCAGATTTGAAAACTTACTACAAAGCTATGGTAATTAAAGCAATGTGGCACTGGCATAAACACAGACATATATACCAATGGAGTGGAATATACCAATAGAAAGCCCAGACATAAGCACTCACATATATGGTCAAATGATTTTTGGAAAAGGTGTCAAGACCATTCAATGGGGAAAGGACAGTCTTGTCAACAAATTGTGCTAGGAAAACTGGATGTTTACACGTAAAAAATTAATTTTGATGCTTACCTAACATCATATACAAAATTAACTCAAAATGGGTGAAAGACCTAAACATAAGAGCTGACATATAAAAACTTTTAGAATGAAACATAGGGAAAAAGCTATATGACACTTCATTTGGTAATAATTTCTTGGATATGACTTTAAAGGCACATGCAACAATAAAAAGTAGACAAACTAGACTTCATAACAATTAAAGACTTTTTTGCATCAAAGGAAATATTCAACAGAGTGAAAAGGCAATCTACCTACTACAGGCTTCAAGAAAATGTTAACAAATCATATATCTGATAAGAGGTTGATATCCACAATATATAGATAACTCCTGAAACTCAACAACAACAAAAAACCCAGAACTGATACAAATATGGGCAAAGAACTTGGATAGACATTTCTCCAAAGAAAATATACAAATGGCCAGAAAGCATATGAAAAGATGCTCAACCTCACTAATTTTAGGGAAATGTAAATCAAACCAATGAGATATCACCTTACACATTAGGATCAATAATATCACAAAAACAAAATAAGCGTTGGCGAGGATGAGGAAAACTTTGAATCCTTGTGTGCTGTTGGAGGAAATGCAAAATTTTACAATCACTATTGAAAACAGTATGGCAGTTTCTCAAAGACAAAACATAGATTTATTATACGATGCTGCAATTTTACTTCTGGGCATATACTCAAAAGAATTGGGAACAGGATCTCAAAGAGATATTTTTACACCTATGTTCATTGTAGAATTATTCACAATACTTAAGAAGTTGAAGCAACCTAAATGTCCATCAGTGGGTGAATCGTTAAAGAAAATGTTATATACATATAATGGAATATTATTCAACCTTAAAAAAGGAAAGGAATTCTGACACATACTACAACATGGATGAACATTGAGGACATTATGCTAAGTGAAACAAGCCAGCCACAAAAACACAAATACTGTATGATTCCATTTATATGAGGTAACTAGAGTAATCAAAATCATAGAGGCAGACAGTGGAATGGTGGTTACCAAGGACTGGAGGTAGGGGACAGTGAGGAGTTATTGTTTAATGGGTATCAAGTTTTGGTCTTTCAAGATGAAAGGAGTTCTGGAGATAGATGCTGGTGATGGTTGCACAACAACATTGATGTGCATAATATAACTGAACTGAACATCTAAAAATGGTTAAGATGGTACATTTTATGTAATATGTATTTTACCATAGTAAAAAAAGTAAGGGCAACAGATGGAATGTAATTTCCCCACTACTCTAATTTATACTTCATCTTACCCTTATGTTTAATTTTGTCAACTTTAGTGGATTTTTTTAATGTGGTCCTTTAAGGAAAGATATCTACCTATGCTCTTGAAAATCATTCATATTACCTTTGTGGGAATACTGGTTCCCAGAATTACATATATCCCCATGACTGTTGGGCACCAGTTAGCCTCCAACTATTGAATTTAGTCAGAGGGAAAGAAGGGCCAACACAAATGATCTCCAAGTATATCAAAGGATAAAGAACTGGAATCCAGAAACTTAAAGGCCTACTTAAAATAATTTATATTTTCTGATCAACATTGAATGTCAATTAGTTGCTTGTTTTTTCCCCAAATCTCTGTGTTTTCTGTTTTACAATCGACAAACTAAGACTCAGACTTCTTGGTGAATATTACTGACACATCAACTCATTTTCATTTAGAATCCTGTTGTTTAATGGCTATATCTGAGCTAATTAAAAGTAGAAACTCTCAATCTATGTACCTTTGAATTATTCTCAGCATTGGGCACTGTACTTAGCATATACTCAGTGTTTAATAAACACTTATTAAAGGAAGAAATGTTCTAATAGGACATATATGATGTGTCCTGGTTATCTTTCTGATCTGGTTGAGGTATTTTAGTATATATTATCTAATTTTTAAAAATCTACTTGGCAGGGTTAAAGACTTTTTAGGCCATCTACATATATTTGCATCCCACTGTTAAAAGAAAAACTTTAGACCAATTAAATTTAATAGAGTTTAATTGAGCAAAGAATGTTTACAAATCAGGCAGCCTCTAGAACTGGAACAGGTTCAGAGTGACTCCAGGGCTTCCACATGGTTGGATAACATTTATAGTCAGAAAAGAAAAGTGATGTACAGAAAATATAACTGAAGTACAGAAATAGATGAATTGGTTAAAACTGAGTGTTTATTTGAACCTGGTTTGAATAGTTTGGCTACCTGTGGTTGACTGAAGTTGGGCTGCCATAATTAGCTGAGAATCATATACTTATTACAATGGTAAGTTTCAGGCTGCTTACACATCAGGTTGGGTTATAATTCATTATATACGGAGAAACCCTTGGGCTGAGCTTAAAATAGGTAAGAAGGCTGCTTTAGGCCAAACTTACTATAACACCACCATTAAAAAATAAAAGATAATAAAATAAACTCTTGTAACTCTTTTCCTGAGACCTTAGATAGGTGTTTGGACTTAGACTGCCATTTCACAGGTTTTCCAGTTCTGGCTAATTTTTTGCATTTTGTTATAGATTTAAATCCAAAAGAGAAGAATGCTTTTGCTTCTTTCTTTTTTCATTTTGATTAGTTTCTCAAACACCTGGAAGACTAATGTAGACCACCCAGAGGAACAAGATCTGAAACTTACCAGCAGCTCATGATAGTGCAAGACCAATGATTGAGACTATAGATCTGAATTATTATTCCATCTCTGCCATTATGTGGCTGTAATATTGAACATGTGACTTAACTTCCCTGTATCTGTCTTTATTTACTATGAGTACTATGAAGTTCAAAACAAATAATGCATTTTTTAAACTTTGCACTTCAAAAAATATAAAACATAATGCAAGTGTAAAGCATTGTTACAAAACAAACTTTTATGAAGTAGAGTCTTACAAATTAAACAAAATCTTATGGGTCCTTACGACCACCCACACTGCCATCTGCAAAAGAAAGGAGAAGCTCTTTGTTTTGTTTAATTTTGTTGCTGTATTCTTTGGCAAAAGCAACAACATGTCTAGCTGCTAGAGCCATAATAGAAGCAACAATGGTAACAGCAGTCTCTGTTCAGCAATCAACTATATCTATAAAATATAGCACCAGTCACCAACAGTTAAAAACTCACACTAAAAATCTATGTGCTTAGTTTTCCCTTACCTACCTCAGATTGTCTGCTAAGCATATGGGATGGAACATCTGAGTGTTTAAATAATTTGATGAGGCAGAACTTTTAGAACAACTGCCCTCTTTTCCCATAATATGAAAGCCGCATCCTTATAATAATCTTCCATGAATTCTTCCTAGAAAATTAATCTCGTGGAATATTGCTGGATGGCACATTTCCTCATTATTAGCCTTTCTAAGAATATCTGAAATAACAGATTTCTTAGCCTGACCTGTTTGGATTGCAAATGATGGAAACCCAACTCAAGCCAGCTTGACAAAAAAGGGAATTTAATGTCTCAATTTTGAAGTTCAGGATTCATGTCGCACTGGCCTATTCCTGTGGCATCATACTTCCACATAATTAATTTCACAGTAACAATGTGACATCACTGAACATGGAGTTGGGAAGAGAGTTGTACAGTTAGCTTTTGAAAATTAGGACAAACCAAGTCCAGCATATGTCTACCTATATGCTAGGCATGGTGCTTTGTGCCAAAGCTATGGAGTTAAGTAAAACATGGTCCCTTTCCTGACATAGGGAATTAGAAGGGAAGAAGGGGGCTCTGTAACATATATTTCAATATCCAGATGCCAGGTACTCAATTCCGTTCTCTATTTGTTATAAGAACTTACCGGATGCCAGGTACTCAATTCCATTCTCTATTTGTTATGAGAGCTTAGACTCTGAATCCATACTACTTGTGCTTAAATGCCAGTTCTACTATTTATTAACTGTTAGATCTTCAGCAAATTACTTAACCTCTCTGTGCCAGTTCCCTAATCTAGAGAAAGGGGATAGTAGTAGCATCTCCTTCATAGAGTTGTTTTGGGAATGAAATCAGTCTATACATGCAAAACAGAATAAATTCTCATTCATGGTGACTTCTTATTAAAGATTGGCTATTGATATATTTTTATTGCCATTTTTCTATTTTCATAAAAATCTCTTTGATTTGTGGGTATCAATATCTCCAGTGAAGAAACTGAGAGGTTAAATGACTTGCCCAAAGACACATATAATATATAATATGATTAAGCTGGTATTTGACTCTAGCTCTATATAATTACAAGTCTCATATGGTTTTACGTCCACACCAGTAACACAGGACTGTTTATCATATGCCTATTCTGAACCACCTACAATACTAGGAGCTTTAAATATATTTTCTAGTGTATTATTTACAACAGTACAATGCATCAAAATTTTCTATTTCTGCTTTGCATATAAGATAACAGGGAATCAGAGAGGCTAAGTAATTCCTGTGGCTATACAGTGAGCTGGGATTTAAACCAAGTCTGCCAGATTTATAGAAATGTGTTCTTAATTACTCTGCTAAATGACTTACAACTATTTTAACCATTATTTTGAGTCATGTTTCTTCATTTTACCCTGAAATAGGATGTGGTACATTGGTAACATGGTAGGTGCGCTACAAGAGATGGGAGTATAATACATATCAGCAATGTAATGAGGAGAGGGAGTGAGATTTGATTTTGTTTTTTCTTATAGCAGGAGCAGAGAATCCTTCTCTGGATCTTGTTAGATAAATTGTAAAAGACTGATGGGGGTGGATTGTGCATTTCTTGCAAAGGAGACAGCCTGAAGAAAAGCACAGAGGCTTGAGAGCATGCCTATGTTTGGTGAATGGCAGCAGACCAGAGAGGTATTATGGGATGAACAAGTGAAGATGGAAAAGTTGGCCTTGATCATCGAGGGTTTTCAAGCACATGCTAAGGAATTTGGACTTAATTCTATGGTACTAAAAAGGCACTGAAATTTTTTGAGAAAAGGAATTTAATGAACTGGTTTTTATTTAGAAAAACTAGGCTTGTAGCAATATGTAAGGACAGACTGGAGCAGCGGGAGACTGAAGCCAGAAAGATGAGTTATATGTTATTCCAATAGCTTATGCAAGAGATTATGTAAGCTAGAATTAGGGAGGGGTTTGAGAGCAATAGATGACTTTGGGAAATACTTAGGAAGTATTGTTAACAGTATTACCTCTGCTAATTAAAAAATAACTCAGCATACAAAGTAACAACATTTTAATGCAACAGATCGGTATTGACTAGAAGACTTTCAGAAGTCTGTATCAACCAGCTACTAGAAGTTTTTCAAAACTTACTATTTGCCGTGTGCCATTGCAAGCCTTTTACGTGCATTATCAAGTAGTTACTATTATATCTCTAATTTGCAGATGAGAACAAGAAAGATCGGAGAGGCCAAACAATTTGCTCAGTTACACAGTTAGAGAGTGACGAAGCCCACACTATTTTCCTAGCAACTCACATTATACACAAATCAACACATTGATTTAGGCCAGGACCTTCCTCTCTGGTGTAGATGGTTGCAATAGCTTCTCAGGTGGTCTTTGTACTTCTACTTCCTACCTATCTCTTCTTTACTGATCAGCTGGAATAATATTTTTGAAAACATAAACAAAAGTCACTCCTCTGCTCAAAATCTTTGCACGGTTTCCTGCTGTACTTGGAATACAACCCCAAGTCCTTTCCTAGGGCACTAGCCTTGTATTGGCCTTGATCACTGCTCCTGCCCACCTCATACCACTTGTCATTTGGCCATTATAGTCCAACAACATCCACTCATCCGCTTTCTCGCAGGCCCTGGAATATTCTAAGCACTTTCCCATCTCAGGGCGTTGTGAATGCTGTTTCCTCTACCTGCTCTCATCCTCCCACTCTTTATCAACTAAGTTCTCACATACACATGTTTGATCTCAAGCTGTGTGTGTTTACTTGTTTGTTATTTGAAGCACTATGCTGAGCCATAGTGGAATCTGAGGTAAAAGGAAAAATAAGTAATATTGACTCTGAGTTTATGTAATATTTTGATTTTTTCCCATGAAGGAATTTTGCATTAATTTTTATTTTAAAAATATTGTATTAAAATTTTATTTATCTTGATTACTGAGTATTTTGGTGTCCCCTTAAAATTCTCACCAAAGACAAGTGCCTCGCTCACCTCACCCTTTTTCCAGTACTGGTCATTGTCTGTCCCACCAAACTGTAAGTAAACTTCAGGGGTTCAGGGACTATGCCTGTTTTGTTCACTACTATACTCATTGTGTGCGACAGATTGTCATGGTGAAGCAACAAATGAAATTTGTTGAATCATTGAATGAAATGTTAGGGATTTCACCAGTAATGTTCAAATGTATCATCTCATTTCATCATCATGGTAACTCTGTGATTTGGGTATTCTCTCCTGTTTGTAGATGAAGATAGTGATGCTTAAAGATGTTAAGTAACTTGGCCAACGTAGATACACAATTAATTAGTATATCGCAGAGGTAGAATTTGAATCCAAGCCTCTGATTTTACATCCAGGTATTTTCTACTACACCAGCTCCTGTCTGAAGGTTTATTTAAACAAAGGCTGAGTAGACATTAATCAGGGCTGCAGAAAGAAGTTCTGGATTTTACAGGAAGCTGGATGAGTTGACTTCAAGTTCTTTTTAGATACTTAATATTTTTTAATTCTATGATCACTACCTTATAATAAGCCGATTAGAACTTGGTAAAATCAGTTTCTTAATTTGCAAAATGGGAATAATAGTATGGATCAAACTGAGTTGTTTAGAACGTTAAATAGAATGGTCTGTGTAAGTTGCCTAATACAGTGTTTGTTATAGAGGAGGTGGCAAATTTTAGTAATTAATTGTAATAATAACAATAAGCAACTTAGGTGAGAGTGAAAACCCTGGAAATGTGGAGCAAAATAACTTCTCTTTCACTCTGTTTCCATGGAAAGTGCCGTTTCTCCAGTCGGAAGAAGAGAGTTAGACTCACTGTCTCACTTCTGTACTTGCCTTCCTGATGGGAGGTGGGCCATTCAATCTTGTTTTGAAGTTGAGGATCTTAAGGCTCTGAGAACAACTTCCAGAATCTCCTAGTTTTTGCCTAACACTCCTAGCTTCTTTATTTTTCACGTGGAAGTAATTCTAATAGACTCCAACCTGGTTCTTTCTGGTCCTTCTTTTCTAGTCACCCAGATGGCCTGACACTTGAGAGGGACACGGAATAAGCACCATCTTACAAAGATATTCTTTCCATTAAAAGCAGCATTACCTAGAAAACACATGGCCGAGGCAGTGGGAGTAGGGGGAGAAGAGCGATGTTTTATCTCCTGACAGTAAAGTCACAATGAGTGTTTCATGAAAGAGGATATGGTTTCAATCAGCTGAGGTTGCATGTGGGAACCTCCTGGCTCCTCTCTTTCACTTTTTCTTATGCCAGAATCTTACTGCAAAAAGGCTGAACCATGCCACTGATAGAATTTTATCCAGTGTAGTACTCACCCCTGGGGTCAACTTCATAACTTCTAGCATGATGTGGATCTCATAGCAAGCACCCAATAAACACACGTTGAGTGACTGATAAAACATAAGTCTATAACAGACAACTTTACACACATGCTCACAGATTTACAGTCCTCTGGTGTGAGACATGTGTTTAGACACTTTCTCCTTTGGGTTCCTTTTCGTATTTTTGTCTTTCACTTTTCTGGTTCATCTGTTACACCCCCTCCCATTTTTACATATACTCTCACGTGCGTGCATGCGCGCGCACACACACACACACACACACCCCTCAGGATCAAAAAGATATGGAGATATAATAAATCAGTTTTGCTTATATTAAAAGCAAACTGAAGACTAACAACTTTCTCAGCAAAATTTCTCATTCTGCCGCTAGTCCATTTGTTTTGAAAATGCAAACAAGGCTTAACTGAGTTTGCTTCATTATCTGTACAATTTAATATTCTGTATCATTTTTAGGATGAGTTGGTAAGACATAGCTGCCTCTTCAAACCTGAGTGAAGCACACAGAGGAGCAAGTTCTGAGACTGGGAAGTAAATAGAGGGAAAATGAGGTGAAAATATGTATAGGCTGGATATCCCTTCTCTGAAATGCTTGGGACCAGAAGTGTTTTGAATTTTGGACTTTGGAATATTTGCATTATACTTACCAGTTGAGCATCCCAAATTTGAAAATCCTAGATCCAAAATGCTCCAATGAGCATTTCCTTTGAGCACTAGGTTGGTGCTCAAAAGTTCTGGATTTAGGGGCATTTTGGATTTTGGGTTTTTGAATTTAGGATGTTCAATATATTTAAAAGGGGTGGCAAGATAGGTCAAAGACAGAATGGCACAGCATAGAAAGATAAATGGAAAAACAAGGTATTATTTATTCAGCTGCCATTGCTAAAGACTGTGTGATGTGACAGGCAAGCCAAGAAACCCACCATGTATTTTATATCACAGTGAATACAAGTATCTATCTAGTAGCGATGGGATGCAGTGGAGGGTATTTAAGATAATATGAAGGCTGTATTATCACTTGGGCAAACAGGAATGGGAGACTCCAGTGTGTGTATAACTAGGGAGTTCAGGAAGTCAGCAACTTGGAGATCCACCAGTGAATAAGTACATGTGCCCCAAGTTTTGAAGATCAGGCACTTGAAATGGAGTGACTGGTGAGATCAAAGCATGCCCCAGTCTTGCTGGGAAGTGCACTGTAGCCAACTACAAAAACTGATCACAAATTATTTTCATCTCATTCCCTCTACCCACGCCCTTTGAAATGTAAAGATTGCAGCTCCTCCCATCTATTCTTCACCCATTCATTGGACTTATTTTGTCTAATATGTTGCAAGTAGGTGCTTGAAAATGACTTGCTTATTGGGGCTTGTCTTTTCTCTTGCTGTTGTTAGAAGTCCTGCTGTCACCACCATTTGATAATTTCCAGGCTAGCCTATTGTGTGATGAGAGATATACACTTTAATCACCCTCATCACTCAAGCTAGCAAACATCAGCCTACCATCAGAAGCAGAACCATCTTGAGAGGTGAAGCCAGCTGGGCTTCTAGGTCTGGTGGGGACTTGGAGAACTTTTCTGTCTAGCTAAAGGTTTGTAAACGCACCTATCAGTGCTCTGTGTCTAGCTAATCAGGTGGAGACTTAGAGAACTTTTCTGTCTAGCTAAAGGATTGTAAAAGCACCAATCAGAACTCTGTGTGTAGCTAAAGGTTTGTAAACGTACCAATCAGTGCTCTGTGTCTAGCTAATCAGGTGGGGACTTAGAGAACTTTTGTGTCTAGCTAAAGGATTGTAAATGCACCAATCAGCACTTTCGTGTCTAGCCAAAGGATTGTAAGTGCACCAATCAGCACTCTGTCAAAACGGACCAATCAGCTCTCTGAAAATGGACCAATCAGCCATCTGTAAAATGGACCAATCAGCAGGATGTGGGTGGGGCCAGATAAGGGAATAAAAGCAGGCCACGGAGCCAGCAGCCGCAACCCACTGGGGTCCCCTATCCACGCTGTGGAAGCTGTGTTGTTTCCTTCTCCGCAATAAATCTTGCTGCTGCCCAGTCTTTGGGTCTGCTCCACCTTTATGAGCTGTAACACTCACTGAGAAGGTCTGCAGCTTCACTCCTGAAGCCGGTGAGACCATGAACCCCCCAGGAGGGACAAACAACTCCGGATGCGCCACCTTTCTGAACTGTAACGTTCACCACGAAGGTTTGCAGCTTCACTCCTGAGGCCAGCGAGACCAAGAACCCACCAGAAGGAAGAAACTCCGAACACATCTGAACATCCGAAGGAACAAACTCTGGACATACCATCTTTAAGAACTGTAACACTCACTGCGAGGTCCGTGCTTCATTCTTCAAGTCAGCAAGACGAAGAACCCATCAATTCTGGACACAGTCTAACTCAGTGATGCCAACCTTTTTGACAGCAGGGACTGGTTTCCTGAAAGACAATTTTTCCACAGATCCAGTGGTGGATCAAGGGAGATGATTTTGGTATGAAACTGTTTCACCTCAGATAGGCAGGCATTAGTTACATTCTCATTCTCATAAGGAGCACACACCTAGATTCCTTGCATGTGCAGTTCACAACAGGGTTCACACTCTGAGAATGTAATGCTGCTGCTGATCTGACAGGAAGTGCAGCTGAGGTAGTAATGCTCGCTCACCTGCCACTCACCTCCTGCTGCATGGTATCAACAGATCCAATGAGTAAATGATAATAATCTACTAATAGTTAACACTTCTCTGGTGTTTACTATGTACTAGGCATTATTTTAAGTTCCTATCACGCCATGGACTGGTACTGGTCAGTGGCCCAGGGGTTAGGGAACTCTGATCTAACTGACCAGCAATTAGTTGCCTTTGGCACATGAGTGAGCTTGGCTATGACCAGCAGAAGCAGCATCCAGCCAAGCAAAGTTCAAATTGTCAACACACAGAATTAAAAACTAAATTGATGATACTGTTTTCATCTACTAAGTTTCGAAGTGGTTTTCTTCTTTTAAATGCATCAAAAAATAATTGATATATTAATTCAAAGGTTTCAGATAGGTCATTAGTCCAGTTCTTTGGGAACAAGAATTCGGTAAACAGAAAATCTCAGTCTTGGGAACAAACCAGGAAGACAGTGGTAAAAAATTGAGTAAACACAAGGACAGATTCTTACATATAAGGCAGAAGCAAATTTGTGAAATTTTGGAACCTCATATCAGAGCCAGGCAGCTTTAAGTGAACATGTTTAATGGCATAATATGGACTCACATTTGTAAGCAATTCCTGGGTCAGTTCAGAGTTGTTGCTGGGAAATTTTTTGAATTTTTCTACCCATATTTTCAGCCTATTCTTCATAGAAGCTATTCCATATATTTTTCAAGCTCTTCAGATCTCAGACCATCCTTTGTTTTTCTCTCTCACTTGATGACCTTCCCTCCCATGTCACAGTGAAAATGAGAGCAACCACTTAAAAACTAAGTCAACTTTCTATCACCAAAGGTACAGATTTAACCAACTGCATCCAGATTTGCTTCTTTCTCCCCAAAATGATGTAACCTCCACATGCTTGAGGTTAATCCTTCTATCTGTGCTTTACATCCATCTAGAGGACCTTACCATCTATCTTCTCTTTCCTCTGTGTCTTTGATGTCCTTCCTTTTACTCAGTCTTTCTAATCAGAGTGTAAATATGCCAATCATTTCCATTTTAAAAAGTTTCCCTTACTTTGTTCTTGAATGATCCTCCTATTTCTCTCTTCTTCACTCTCAAGCTTTGGGGTAAAGTGGTACACACTGCTGCAGTGTCCTCCCTGCAATTTATCTTCCAACTGTGTTCAATTTTGTTTTTGCCCTCAACCTCCATGAAATTGCATTCACCTGAAGTTGGAAGCAGAAGGCAGGAATTAAAAAAGAAACAGCAAATATTTATGATTTAGATAACAGATAATAATTAGAGAAAATAATACAAAAATGTACTCAAAGGTGGCAGTTGGGGGAAAACGTTGATCACTACTTGCTAACAAAATCAAGAAAAATGCATAAACTTTTGTGCTTTCTCTGAAGCACAAAATCACAAAATAAGAAATAGTCACATATTTAGAGAAAAATAAAAGACTATGATATTCTGCTTAACATTATGCATGCAAATATTTTTAAATTTGATTAAAATAGACGTTTATTTAGGTAAGTATAAATGATAAGTTCTAACTCCAGAAGAAATGGAAAATTTAAACAATATTCATGGAGGAAATAGAAGTTGTCAATGAGCTACCCCTTCCAAAAGTACTCCCGATCCAGATGTTGATAAGAAAATTCTACCAAACATTGAAGGAATTCCTAACTGCTCCTGAATGCAAAAATTGCATGCATTTTCTAAAAGATTACCTAAGAAAAGGAAATTATAGATCAAATTAATGTATTAATATCAGTGTGAGAATCCTAAATGAAATATTAACAAATATAATTTAGCCACTGAAAGACTAATTGCTGTTAAAAAGATGGGATTTATTCAAGAAATGCAGAATGGTCCCATGGGACTAAATCTAATAATATAATTTATGGTATAAACAGATCTAATGAGAAAATGATAATAATGTACTAATAGTTAACACTTCTCTGGTGTTTACTATGTACCAGGCATTATGTTAAGCACTTTAAATATGTTAACTCACGTCTCACAGCTTCCATATGAAATAAGAAACATTATTTTTACCAGTTCATACATAAACTGTTAATGAAAGACATTTAAAATTCATCCAGGATTATATACCCTGGTAATTGACAGAGATACTTCAGACTCTGCCTTCTAAACCATTATGGTGCACTGCTACTCTTTCATCATCTTCGTTGATCCTGAAATATCATTTGATACAATTCAACATTCATCCCTGTTTATTAAAATTTACTCCTAAAACAGGGATGTTTCCTTAATATGATAAAATATATCTAACTTCTTGTTAAAATGCAGGTTACACTTAATGGAGAAACCATTAGAAACATTCAGACTAAAATAAAGGACAGAGGAAGGACGCTCATTATTACTACCATTATTTAACATTTTTTGGAGGTACTAGCAAACACAATGAAACAATAGAACAAAATTTGAAATTGAAAATTTAGAAAGAAATTATCTTCATGTGAAGACAATATGATTGTTTACCTGGAAAACCCAAAATAACAATATTTAAAAAATTATAAGCGGTAAGATATATCAGGAAGATAGTAGACGCTCCTTAGCCCAGTCATTTCCCAGCCACAAGGGTGGCCCTGGCGTGAGACCAGCAGAACTGCCCAGCTGCATCCAGTCCAAATTGTTGACCCACAGGACTATGAGCAAATAAAATGGTATTGTGTTAAGCTAGTAAATATTTGACTGCTTTATTACCCAGCAATAGATAACTGAAACACAGTATATGACAAACATGGCATGTCAAATCAGTGAAGAAAATATTCATTACTTAGTAAATGTATTTGGAGAACTTGGTAGTCATCTAGCAATAAATTAATTCAGATTCATATCTTATTCATACTTTATAATAGGATTAATTCCAAATAAATAAAATATTCAAATTTGAAAAATGAAACCATAAGGTACTATAGGAAATCACAGAAAATTTTTATATATATATAACTGTGGGAGTGAGAAGAGCATTCTAACTAGACATTAAACACAAAAATCATAAAAGATTGATAGATTTGACAAAGAAAAAATGAAAACTTCCTGCATGGCAGAAAATCATGGGGGAAAAAATCAAAAGACAGATTACAAACTGGCCAAAATATTTTTTAAACATATCACAGACAAAGGATTAATTTGATTAATATATAAAGAACTCATGTAAATATTATAAAAAATGAATAGATTGAACATAAAAATAAAAAAATAATTTTAACATGCCAGTCACAGAAAAGGAAATACAAATAGTTCTTAAACATATAAAGACATATGCATAATTATATATATCAGTGTTGGTTCATCAGTTATAACAAGTGCACCACTCCGGGTAGCTGGGGGCGGGGGGTGTGCATAATGGGGGAGGCTATGTTTGTGTGGGAGCGGGGGATAAAAGAGAAATATTACACACACACAATCTATGAATCAATAAGGAAAAAAAATTATCAAATGTCACAAATAAACATTCCCTGAAAAAGAAACCCAAATAACACAAATGGCCAATGAATACATGAGAAGACATATCTGTACTAGTCAAGAAAACACATAATAAAATTACAGTGGTATACCATGTAAGCTTACCATATTGTCAAAAATTAAATTGACACTGACTTTTTGGAAAGACTGGAATAATGAGAACTCTTATACATGTATTGCCAGTGTAGTTTGCTACCAATATTGTGTGAAATAATTTAACATTATCCAGCAAAGTTAAAAGAGTGAACACTCTAAAACAGTTATTCCACTCCCAGGAGAAGCACCTATACTGCAATAGGACAGGTGAGTAAGAATTTTCACAGCAGAATTATTCTTCATAGCAAAACAAAAACAAAAAGAATCATCCAAAAAGCAATGGCAACTACCCACATACCTATTTCCTGAAGAAATTTAAAACAAACTATAGAATAGTACACAGCAGTGAAAAGTGTTGCACCACCAAACACAAAAAAGCATAGATGACTCTCGTAAATAATGTTGAGCCAAAAAAAATGTCAAGTTAGTATTTACTTCTGAGGGGAAGGAAAAAATTGATGTGACTTGGGAAGAAAGCAGAAACTTCAAAAGAATTGTTGACATATTTTTCTAAGTTGAGTGATGGGTACATGATTGTTTTTAAACCACAGATAGATGTATAATCACAAATTGTTTTTCAATTAAAAATAACAATTAATGGCAGAATAAACCCCCAGGAATTTGTAAACTATTAGAGTTGTCCAATGATCATAAATAGGACTTAGACAACAAGAGAGCCAGATGGTAAATATTTGTACCTAGGACTAGATGGAATAAAGCAATTAGGTAGCAAATTTTATCATCAGTACGTAGCCCTATTCCTGACATAATAGACATTCAGTAAATGTTTGCCCAACCTTTGGGCTGGGACTTGAAAACCACAGGCTTCATTTTATTACTAATGGGAGATAAGGCTTTAGAGGCATATGGTGGAATGCTTTGAAAATATCCCTTGTGGGATTTAGGCCATTAAAAATGCAGAATAATAAAATGCTTATCATTGGAGGGAGTCACAGACATAATGAAAACAACTTGTCAATTTATTTAGTCTGGCAGCCTCGTAACCCCTACATAGACACACAGCTTAATAATTTTATCCATATAGCAGATTTGTTTTAGGAGTATCCTGGGGGAAAATTTAATCTTCATAACAAAACACTTAATAATGTATTCCTAGAAATACAGCTCTCTTATGTAGCAAGTAGTACTTTATATGTGCAAAGTTCTATCAAACACATTGTATCAATTACTTATAGGATTTCTATAATTGTATTCATATTTCATAACTGAGAAAACCAACGAACAGAAAAGCTTAATATATCACATTGTCACAAAAGTAATTTTAGAAATATTCAGCTGAGCATAGAGACTCAACTGAGATACTACATTTAAGTGCTAGAATTAAGTGATCTGTGGCTCAGGATACACATGTGTGATCTGCTTAAATTACCTGAAGCTTTAATGTGCAAATGATTCGTTTACTAAAGGGAGGGTCTAAACTGAGGAAATGTGTCTTTGAGATCTGTTACTATGTTGGTTCTGCAGCCATCTTCTGTGTTATTTATTTTATTTTTTTATTTTTCCATAGGTTATCAGGGTACAGGTGGTATTTTGTTACATGAGTAAGTTCTTTACTGGTGGTTTGTGAGCTTTTGGTGCACACATAACCTGAGCAGTATACACAGCACCCTATTTGTAGTCTTTTGTCTCTCACTCCCCTTCAATCCTTCCCCCCAAGTCCCCAAAGTCCATTGTATCATTCTTATGAATTTGGTCCTCATAGCTTAGCTCTCACATATCAGTGAGAACATATGATGTTTGGTTTTCTGTTCCTGAGTTACTTCATTTAGAATAATAGTCTCCAATCTCATTCAGGTCACTGCAAATGCTGTTAATTCATTCTTTTTTATGGCTAAGTAGTATTCCATCATCTATATATACTACAGTTTCTTTATGCACTCGTTGATTGATGGACATTTGGGTTGGTTCCACCATTTTGCAATTGTGAATTGTGCTGCTATAAACATGCGTGTGCAAGTATCCTTTTCGTATAATGACTCCTTTTCCTCTGGATAGATACCCAGTAGTGGGATTGCTGGATCAAATGGTAGTTCTACTTTCAGTTCTTTAAGGAATCTCCACACTGTTTTCCATAGTGGTTATACTAGTTTACATTCCCACCAGCAATGTAGAAGCGTTCCCTGATCACCACATCTATACCAACATCTACAGTTTTTTTGATTTTTTGATTATGGACATTCTTGCAGGAATAAGGTGGCATCACATTGTAGTTTTGATTTGCATTTCTTTGATCATGAGTGATGTTGAGCATTTTTTCCTATGTTTGTTGGCCATTTGTGTATCTTTTTTTGGGAATTGTCTCTTCATGCCTTAGCCAACTTTTTGATGAGACTGTTTGTTTTTTCTTACTGATTTGTTTGAGTTCGTTGTAGATTCTGAATATTAATCCCTTGTGTGTGTGTGTGTTTCTCCAGGCTTTTTGCTTTTCTGTGCTGTTTTCTTTACTTCTCCCCATAGATTGTACCCCCTTAGAATCAGGCACCCTGGCAATACCTCATACAAAACAAAACTGTCATGCCTTTTCCTCCCATCCTTAACAAAAATTAAAACTGACCCATTTTATCTCTAATCGTTCAGTAAACAGATAGATAACTTTTTTTAATCTTTGGTAAACAAACTTCATTTCTTTCTTTCTTATTTTTTACTGGTGCTGGCATAGTATGTCATCTCTCCCAGGATCACCACCTTAACATATGATGGTAGATTATTAGATACTTTATGTTGAGGGATTTGACAAACTATCTCTCTCCTACCACTGCTAAAATCCAGTATCCCTCCTTAGCTTCCCTGAAATGCTTTTCCTACCTATCACTGGTATAATTTGCATGTCAGAGAACCTATTTCAAAAACCAGAATTTCCAGTATGCTAGAAGCAGCAAGCAGCTATTCTTCTGTAGGGAAAGCACTTAATAGTTGACAAAGTGTTGGTACTAACCCTTTGGATTCTAGCAACTCTCATTTTGCATGACATATTTGCCTGTGGTGCCTGAGGCCAGGCTCAGGGCCAGTCTTTCATGTGGCAGAGGAGTTATGATTCAAGTACGTCATGATGTTCTCCCTGCTATACCCAGAACTCCCTGATTGCCCTTCCCCCAGAAAGCCTAAATGTTACACCATTAGAAATTCATTCCTTTAGGCTGAAAGACTGTCAGACACACTTAAAAAAATTCTTGACATTCTTGGAGGAGGTAGAACTTTAAGTCATTAAAATAAAAGTACTTCTTATTTGGATTGCTTTCTCACAGGGCAGTAGCCAGGAAGACTCCCAAGGAAATATGTTACAAGTTGACGGAAGTTAACCTGAGTCCAGCCGAGGCTAAGTTTGGATCATGAGGCACTGCCCAAGGAGGCTACTCTAGTAAAAGCATTGGTGAGGTGGCAGAGGACTCAAGACTAACTGAGGAAGTAGGAGATAGCTGCCATCTTAAAGGCTGCCAAAGGAAAGGAAGTACTATGGAATGGCCTCATGGAATGACCCCAATGTCTGATGTCATCTACATCTGTTAGACCCAATGCCTTCCTGTTGACCTGCTCAACATTCCCTAGTCTCTGGGACATACGAAAGTGTCCAGAGACTGTCAAGGGGTGTTATACCATAGTCCAAAGAAAGTTAAAAGATAATTTTTTTAAAAAAAGTATAGTGGTGCAAAATCAAGTTTTAATACCAAGAAAAGGGGATGAAGAATGAGGTATGAAAGGTGACTCTAGTATAGTTCATTTCAGAGTTTTTCATTCTTTCAATTAGCTATTCATTGAGTAAGTGCCTGTACAAATTACTGTGCCAGGTAATGAGACAAATCCAAGGAATAGCAAGACACATGGATTTCTAATAAAATCTGAATGTCAAGGAGTGATGAAGGTAGTAGGTAGTATAGAAATTCTAGGAAAAGAAGTCCCTTTGGGCACTTGTGTTTAGTGAAATAGATAGATGGGTAGAACTTCGAAGTGTTTGAGATTATGTTAAAGAGAAGAGGCAAGGAGGCAATCTGGAAAAGGGAAGTAGGCAAGCAAAGACAGTGAGGTAGCAAAGCATAAGATGTTTTGGGGGGCCAGAGTAAGCTGATGCAAAGAAGTGGTGGTAGTTTTTAGGAGCCTCTGGGATTAGGGCCCACTGCCTAGGTCAAATTCCACTTCTCCCATTGGTGACCTTAGGCAAGAGACATAGCTTCATTGTGCCGCAATTTCATCATTTGAAAAGAAATAATAACAGTATCTACCTCATAAGAATGCTCTAAGAAGAGGAGAAATATGTTAACTGCTCAGTAAAGTGATGAATACATCTATTTGATAATTTTATGATTATTTAATATTACTTTTGCTAATTCAGTAATTTATATGTTACCAGTAGGAAATGGAAGTATAAAGCCAAGATTGTTCCTTAAATGTTAGATGACAATATCTGTATTTTATTCTGTGGGAAGTGAGGGAGCTTTTGAAAGCATGTCATAATTGGATAAATTTGCCCTGCAGCAAGGGATTGGATATGCTCTAAGTGCTGGATGGAATTGGGGCTTGGAGGCTAGAGGAAGAAAGATGGAATGGGAAGCTATGGCTGCAGCTAGCTGATGGATGAGGTAATATGGTCCTGAAATTCAAAATGACAGCAGAGATAAGAAGGAAGTTATAGACGTGAGAGACATTGTAAAAGAAGGAGGGAGAGTATGTGCTGTCAGTTTGAATCTAGGAAGGAAAACCAAAGTTGTGACTGATGTTTTGAGCTTTAGTGACTAAGACTAGTATGGTGCTAGAATTAAGAGCAGAAAAGGAAGGGAAAAATTGATTTAGGGAAGAAGAGGGGCATAATTAGTTCAAAAGGTAATGTGAAATTTAAGTGAAATGTAGTCTAGGCAGCTGGAGATGCAGAATGAGAATTCAGGGGAGAGGTTGGCTGGAGATATGTTGTCTTCTGAGTAATGGCAGAGAGCAGGTTGATGGATGACTTCTCTGCAAGCAAAAATGTGAAGGTAAGAGCCTAACCTTAAGTCTGAACCTTGGGGATTGTGCAGAGACTTGGTGATTTGGGCTTTAAAAGAATAGCAATATATTATTCTCCTTTGCCATGAGTATGCTGTTACAGAACTATTAGCAATGAGGTATACATATATGTTTTTCATTTACTACTTCTTTCTTTCTTTTGTTCATTTATGAACATTCATTACAGCATTTAAACTATCTAATGCTCAGTAACTACTTAACAAATGAATAAAATCCATGGTACTATCAAACCCTACAGAAGAGCTTACCTGCCTCCTTATCTCCATGCAGACTGTTATCACCTTTGGGGTGAGCATTGGCCTACATATGTCTGACATCACTGATCCATAGTACCTTGATTGTGCATATTCATGCTGGAGCTTTGGGGTAATTTGATAGCCCTTTTGAGTGGCTTCTCTTTTTTTTATTTCACAACTAAACACTTTCATTCAACATTTAAGTATTTTGGCTCCATGCCATGTAATCAAGGAGCAGTTCTGGAATGTGCAAGGATACAGGCTGCCTGTAAGAACATGCCCCACTACTCTTGCTCTTTACTCACATTGGCAGGAATGGTTTCCTAGTGGGACTGTACTTTGCATTTTAACAATATAAATTAGAGGCTGTAATTACAATAGCATAAAATCACCAACAAAATACTGCTAGTTTTCTCAGCTCGTTTTCTCACTTCTTTAACATAAAACAACTAATTGTTCTTAAGTGCCTAAGCCACACTGAGGCAAAGAGAACCTTGTACCCCCTCTCACTTCCCTGAACCAACCCCCCATCCTTCCTCCATCGTCTCCATGGCGACCTCTAAAACAAGCCGTTACAATCCTGACATGGCACCAGGCTGACACCTTGGGCTGGGATTTAATTTTGAGTTATGACCGTGTTAGGAAAACATATGATGTGGCTGTTTGCTTATAGAAAGGGGGGGGAAATCATAAAACCCTCTTTTTTTATGAGCTGTCGCTTGATTCGTTCCTGGAGCCCCAAGTAGCAAGCTTCTAAATCAATGCATGCAGCTGTTTTGGCTTCTTGGAGCCCAGCAGGTGTATTGCTCAGCTCAGCTGCCATCTCCCTGCACTCACATAACAAATAACGGCTTACACACCCCAGTCATCCATCAGAGTTACTGCTGGGCCCCAAGAGGCTTCCTTCCCTCTTCCCTACAACTCTTTATCCTCCTCCTTTCTTTCTTTTCTTTTCTTTTCTTCTTCTTTAGCAGTAGTTGTACTCCATCTATGGATTTTTGTTACACTTTTGGATGCCTTAGTTGAATAACCTTTGGCTTTTTTGGCAAGAGGAATGAGAGAGAAAGAGGAGAAAACCCACCACAGTGTTTATTTGTGTTTTAAAAAATTAAAACAATAGCAGTATTGTGATTGGTGAAATCAATTAGTCTTCCTAAGCAGTAAAGGCCCACATCTGGTGTGACTTAAGTTAATGTAAGAGAAAGGGCTGCAGAGGCCCAGAGACCTTGCGTTCTCATTTCAACAAGTGACAGAGAAGGCATAAAAGGCTAGTAATATACTACAGAGATGGCGCGATAAATATTGGGGTGCTTGCCTAGCAGGCAAAATCTTCGTTGGCCCATGACAACCAAATAAATGTTCCCTCCTAAGGCTGACCATCAACTCCAGGGAACTGAAAGGCTGAGTGCCAAATTGAGACTATTCCAACGGGTTAGCAAGACGATTTCCCCAGGGAATTGCAGAGATAAGGGCTTGAACTCCTGAGATTTGGTGGTGGGGCAGGTGAAGACAGATTTGACAACTTGTAGACGCTCTAATCAGAGTGGGTCAATTGAAAGAAGGCTATGGCAATGCCAAGCATGGTGATTAGTGCATAGTCGAGGCTTCTGGATGATTCAAATGTACGACTCAGACCTTGACCTTTTAGTAGAGTTGCCAGATTTCACAAGTAAAAATTCAGGGCACCCAGTTAAATTTGAATGTCAACTAAAGATTGAGTAATTTTGTACTAGTATAAGTATGTCCTACCTAACATTTGCACACACTTATACTAAAAATTTGCTGGTTATCTAAAATTCAAATTTTACTAAGTGTCCTGTGCTTCATCTACTTTCTAGGAACTTGTATTTTTAAAAATGTGATGCCTTCTCCAATGTTTTTCATGTTGTGCTATGGGTCGAAACAAGAAATGGCCATAATGAAAGAATGCCTGCCCTTTTCTGGGAAGTCACTGCTCATGACTCGTCATAGTATTTAATACCCTTTGAATACAGGATTATTAAGTAAATCACTTGCAAATTTATTTTCAAGAATACGGTTCATTCTTACCTAAAAGAGACAGAAAATATTCCTTCATCATAAATGTCCTTTTTGGCTGATTCTCAAGGCAAATTACATTTGCTGCTCTGTTTCAGAAATCATTCTGGCATAGGTCCATTTTTTACAAAGTCTGTTCTACATAACCCTATGAAAAGAGCATGTAGTGGTATCCCTCTCTTGGAAGTTTATAGTACTTTTTAGTAAATTAAAGGATCTGGGGAATTTAACAATAAAAAAACCTGTTTAGCTTTTTTCCACCCAGAGTTGCTTAATTTGTTTGATTATAGAACAGCCTTTTCAAGAAATACCTATTAAATCCAGCAGAACTAATTGACTGATTAACTGGTTGACAAATGCTGACTTATGGTTTTGATATGTTTATTTTTCCCCTCAGTCTACGTGATTTTTATCTTCTATTTAAATGTTAACTGACTTCTTCTTCTCGTATTTCCTTGCTAGCCTTCTTACATCTTTTCTGAAAGTATGCAACAAAAAATTACAAACAAATAAGTAAATGAATGCCCTGAGGTGGTTGACATGTATTACATATACAGTACACAAAATGCTTACAAAGGATCTGTGACTCAGGATATTTAGAGAATCATGGTCACTGAAGATACTTTTCCTCTTCCCTCTCTACAAAATTGCTCGTGTGTGTGAAGTGCCACTACCCCAAAACAAGCAGTCGTATTTTTTTCTGCCATTGGCTTCTGCCCCACCCTAACCCCTCACCTGGGTGCTGAGCTTGTAGGGTTCTGCTGCTCCCTGCAACCAGTCTCTCTCAGATGTAAAATTCCACTCCAGAGGTGGCTGAATTAGCAGAAGCACAAAACTTGGGAGTATATTGTATATGTGGTACTTAGGGACACTTCAGGAATAAAAGGGGTGAGGATCATGTGAGTTATTATTCTAACAATCTCAATTATTAACTAGCTCTCAGGCAAGACCCCTTGGTACTTAGCAATCATTCCAGCACAATATAAATGTATTTGTCATAGATATATCTCATTGCAAGGGGGGAAAGTCTCCCCTATTTATTCCAAGGCTGATGGCAGGTACCAGAAACCTGGAATGACGGGATAGTCCATGGGTATTTTTATTTTTATTATTTTCTTAAACCAGTTTCCAACAGCTGGCCACCACTTGCCCCTTGACGTGGACACATAAAAGCAAATCCTCCAGCACTGTGCCAGCCAGGATCAGGGAAAAAACACAGCCCTCATAAATCAAGCCTGCACTGTTGTACAGCTTTAGCTCAATGAAGTTCATGTGTATGGGATAAAGGGTTTGAGCTGTGACTGAGAAGAAGAGAGTCTTGCCCTGCCACCTTCCTGCAAGCCTCATGGATATAAGCCAGCACCAATCCACACAAAACTTTTGTCATACCCTCAGTCTCCCAGCGCTGGTCAAATCACTCAGTCAAGATCTCACACTCCTGTGGGCAAAGCTTTGTAGTGCTTCATTTTGCTCTTTGTAAAGAAGAGCCTGGTCCCAGTTTAAGCTTCAGAAAGAGTGACTCTCAAGGGAGCAGAGCAGAGGATAGCAGGGCATTGTCCATTACTGACCGGCTGAATTACTAGAGAGAGTGAGGCAGATTGGGGACTTGGTTCTAGGAAGGAGAGGAAAACAGAGGTATTTCCTAAGGAACAGGAAGACAGGAATAACAGGGGAAGGGTAGAAGGAAAAATTGAAATGACATAAGCACCCCCCAAAATGACTGAACTTCATTCAGGTCAGGGGAAAAACTTTCCACGGATCAACTCATGTGACATTCACAGGAAGTCATAAGCTAAATACTAATCTCTAGATAAACTCAGAAACTTCAAGAGGCCACTACAAATGTTAGAAGGACACAGGGGATTTCAGAAATGGAAGTCCCAAAAGGTGGAGTCCCAGAAGGTGACACCACTATATGTAGAGGAAGATTGAATACTGGTTATCCAACCACATTGCTGGAAGAAAATGATCAGGAACATGTCAGTAGAGTAGCATCCACTGACAAAGCATTCCAAATTCTTCAGGATAAACATCTATCCTCCCAACCCCACCAACCCCCTAAGTTACTATTGTTCAGGAAAATGTGGCCCTGATGCTAAAAGGGCCTAAATGTTAATGTAAAGGAGGAAATATTAATTAATGAATTCAGTTCAGTCTGTAATTTAGTCATTCATTCATGTGCTAGGGGGTCAATTTTATGCCATACATTGTGTCGGGTGGCTGGCTGAATAGGGCGGGAATCCCAGACCTAGCATTCCTGCCACCCCTTAACCCTGTTCTAGCACAGATATGCAAGTGGAGGGTGTCAGACTGGGTGCCCTCAGAGGGCATCAGATTCTAAATAGAGATTAGAAATTACATAATTAACATTAGTCACATATTTTTAGTGCTCTCATATGGTCATGTTCCTCTGCAGTAGTCAGGATGAACTTTGTTATCTTCATTCTCCAGCTGAGAAACTGAAGCTCTGAAGAATTAAAATATCAGCCAAAGGCCACCCAATCTCTTAGTAACAGAGCACAGTCTGACTTCATCACCCAATGCCACCTTACTGAAGGGCTTTTCCTTCCTTAACTGGTTGAGGTCAATCATGGACCTCTTATGCCAACTTTTATCTCTCCACTGCCTTTGTTCTTGCCAATATTTCCTTTGTATGGTATTACCAATGGAAAATCAGCAGCTAAAGGAATCAGATGTTTGTGCAAAAATATCAAATATCATAACCCTCCCATGGTAAGCACCCAAACTCAGTAGCTTTCTGTGATTTGTGAATGATCCTAAGAGGACCTTGATTTTAAAATGGAGGGAAAAAATTAAACCTATAACACATATGTTACAGGAAAGGGGTCCCCATCCAGACCCCAAGAAAGGGTTTTTGGATGTTGCACAAGAAAGAACTCAGGGTGAGTCCATAAAGTGAAAGCAAGTTTAAGAAAGTAAAGGAATAAAAGAATGGCTACTCCACAGACAGAGCAGCCCTGAGGGCTGCTGATTGCCCATTTTTATGGTTATTTCTTGATGATATGCTAAACAAGAGGTGGATTATTCATGCCTCCCCTTTTTAGACCATATAGGGTAAATTCCTGGTGTTGCCATGGCATTTGTAAACTGTCATGGTGCTGGTGGGAGTGCAGCAGTGAGGATGACCAGAGGTCACTCTCATTGCCATCTTGATTTTGGTGGGTGTTAGCTGGTTTCTTTACTGCAACCTGTTTTATCAGCAAGGTCATTACCACCTGTCTCTTGTGTCGACCTCTTGTCTCATCCTGTGACTTAGAATGCCTAACCATCTGTGAATGCAGCCCAGTAGGTCTCAGCCTCATTTTACCCAGCTCCTACTCAAGATGGAGTTGCTCTGGTTCAAACGCCTCTGACACATATAACCCTTATTCCTTTGTGCCATTTAAGAGAAAACTCTACTGCATCAGACATAGGCCAGAACATAAGTGTCAGGGTATGGGAAAAAATTTAATTATAAATAGTGAATTTGATAATAGAGAAAAAGTAGTATCATAAAACACACTGATGCTAGTTTTTAAAAAACTACTCAGGATTCTAACCTTTTAAAGAAGCAGTGTCAAAACTTAATTATCTTTATACACAATCTCTAATCTTAAAAAAGAAAATAGTGAAGAACTCTGACAACCTAAGATGTCTCATACTAACTTAAAGTTTGAAACAATATTGAAAAGAAACATCATTCATTTCTTCTAATTAAAATTGGGGCAATTTATCTATTTTTATAATTAATAAAAATAAACTTACATATTTTCTCATCTGTAAAATGTGAATAATAATGTGTCGCTATCCTTGAAGCCCAGATGAGTGTCAGAGGGTCTGGAAAGTATTTTGATACCCTTTGACAGTATAAGAGAGAGCTTTGCTTTCTTTCACAGTACTATTATTGTTATTGGCTGTGTTTGATTATGGGAGCTGTTAATCTAACATTCTACTCTATTCTCACCTTTTAAAATTCCAGTAAATAAAAATTTCTGTGAATTGGAGAGGACAATTCAGAGGTCAGTGGGTATTTACAAAAATAATACGAGAAAAGAGAGATTTTCTTAATCATCTTCTGTCATAATTTTTATGACAATGATTCCATAGTCAATTCTTTCCATTTACTTCCTGCTCAGTTTCTTAAGCTTCTCACTTCCAATGATCTTGTCTCCCACTCTTCTTCAGCCACTGACACACATGCTCACCCCTACACCCGGTCATTATCAATAACTGAACACCCAGTATACTCTCAATTTTAGCTATACAACTCTCCAACCAGTAGCTTCTTCTTCTTCTTTTTTTTTTTTAGATGGAGTCTCGCTCTGTCACCCAGGCCAGATTGCAATGGTGATATCTCGGCTCACTGCAAGCTCTGCCTTCCAGGTTCACACCATTCTCCTGCCTTAGCCTCCGGAGTAGCTGGGACTACAGGTGCCCACCACTGCGCCCAGACAATTTTTTGTATTTTTAGTAGAGACAGGGTTTCACTGTCTTAGCCAAGATGGTCTCGGTCTCCTGACCTTGTGATCCGCCCACCTCAGCCTCCCAAAGTGCTGGGATTACAGGTGTGAGCCACTGTGACCAGCCTCCAACCAGTAGCTTCTAACTTTCCATCTTATTTACTTTAGTACGCTGACTCTTACCAATTTTTTTAATTTCACTAATACAAAAACAAAACAAAACAAAGAAACAAAAACTTTGGATTTTCAGCTTTCCTCTATCTTTGTATTTAAAATGTATGTGCCTCCTAACCCAATTAGTTTTTTTTTAGTTTACTAAAGTTTTAGTACCTTATCACCTCAGCTCCCTCCTAACCCAGTTTAGATACTCTGGGTCATCATTATAATCACAGATTTGTATAACACTGTTAACTCCCTTTGTCAGCTCTACATTTATCACATCCTGCCAGACAAACTTCAACAATGATTAAATTAGGAACTCTGCCTACTCCACACCTGCCTTTATGCAGCTAAATATATGGAGAAAAGCATATGTCTAAGTTAATAATCTCATTCTAATTTTATGACGTGTCATACTAGGAGAACCCTTATGCTACCTTGTAGTCCCTACAGCATTTCCTTCGACTCTTTACATTTCTATTCTTATAGATGCTGTTGTTAGCCTTTTCTTCTCTCCTTTAAACCTCCATTATCCCCTCCTTTAAGTTTTACTCTCTGTTGATGACCTTACTCCTGTTTCATTGAGAAAAGAGAAACAATCAAAAGAGATCCTTTAAGAAAAAAAGAATGTAGAATTAACAAGTTAATAGTGAGGGGAAACAAAAATTTTTAAGTGCTTACATCAAAACATTAACTATATTAAATATAAATGAATTAAATGCCCTAATAAAAAGATAAAGGTGGTCAAAATGAAAAAAATAAACTAAACTACATGCTATTTTCGAGACATACATTTTAAATACAATAATAGAGGAAAGTTTAAAGTAAAAATACCTAAAGAAGAATAGAACTTTGAAACACCAACTAAACAATACCTAGTGTAGATTTACTAATATCAGACACAGCAAACTTTAAGGAACAAAGCATTACTAAAGATAGATATGTCATAATAATACAAGTTTAATCCTACGAATATAATACAATTCTAACTTGTATGCTCCTAAAATACTCTCAAAGCAAATATTGTCAGAAATGAAGAATAAATATAAGTAAGTCTATAATGACAAATATTTTAGCATACCTCTCTCACAGATAGATCTACTATCTAAAATAGTAGGGCATAGAAGATTTTTATAATACAATTAAGAAAATGACTTATTAGATATTTAGAGAACATTATAACCAACAATTACAGAATATTTATAAAAATGATATATGCTAGACCTTAAGCAAGGTTCAGCAAATATCAAAGAAGCGAAATCATTTAAAGTCCACATTCCAAACACAGTAGCATCATGTTAGAAATTTCACAACAAAAATATAACTGGAAAATTGCTATGCTTAGAAATTAAGAAATTAAACTTCAGGACAACAATGAGACTAAAAAAAAAAAAGAATTACAATAAGAATTTTAAAACAAGTTGACCCAAATGCTACTATCATATAGCAAAGCTTGGATGCAACTAAAACTATGCTCAGAATGAAGTTTATGCCTGTCACGAGAACTAAAAATCATCTTTTCCCTGCATCCATCCTAAAAATTAGAAGAAAAAGCAAGAAAAAAATCAAATTAAACCTGGAGACAGGACACATTAAAGATATAAAATTCATAAAATAGAAATATAAACATACAATAAAGATGATCAATCATCTTTATTTTTTTGAAAATTTTTTTGAAAAGACTAAAAAATTTGAATTAAATTAAAGCTGTTGTCAAAACTGGTGAAGAAAGTAGAGATAGAAAAGAAAAATGACCAATACCAAGAATTCAAAGTTAGATATTACTGCAAATCCTATAGACCTTAAAATATAATGAAAGACAATTATGAACAACTTTGTGGCAATACATTTGAAAATGTAAATGCAATAGACATTCCTAGAGAAACAAACTTTCTAAAACAGACAGAAGAAAATCTGAGAAGCCTCTTATATTTAAATAATTGAATCTATAATTTCAAATGTATCTGTCTCTAAAGAAAACTTGAGGTCTAATTGGCTTCAGCAATGAATTTCACTAAACAATTAAGCAAAATATAACCTCTATCTTATATAAGATTTTCCAGAAAGTAGGAAAAACAAGAAAAAATTGCCAACCAGTTTTATGAAGCCAGAATAATTTTGAAACCAAAGCCTGGCATGGATATTACACAATATTAAAACTACAAGCTCACTTCACTCATAAACATGGATACAGAAATATTAAACAAAATGTTCATAATTTAAACACAATTATATGCACCACAGGATACTATAACATAACCAAACTGGGTTTATTCCAGCAATACAAGGTTGGCTTAACATTTGGAAAACAATCTGTATAACTCATGATATTAATAAAGGAGAAAAACCACGTGATCATAGTATTTGTGGGAAAAATACTTGATGAATTTAACATCCAATCTAATCATGACAAAAATATTCAGCTAGGAAAAGAAGTGAACTTCTTTAATAAGGTATATCAACAACAACAGGAAACTATGCTATACATTGTTTTATGACAAAATGTTAAAAGATTTTCTTCTGAGAACAAGGATGGGAGAAGAATGTTGACTTATATTATTCCTATTCAACTGTCCTAGCCTATGTTATATAGCAAGAAAAACAGTATAGACGGGACTTCTCTGTGATGGGGGGAGGCGCTCTGCAAATCCTGCCTCAAATGAACAAAATAACACTGAAAATAATATCAGAAGAATTTATTAAGAGCTCCTGAAATTGACCAAAGGCAACCAACAAACTGAAAAGTGCTTATTCAAGGAAAACTGCTGCACTTTGGATAGAAACAGTGAGAGTATGTGGTTTACTTACTTGAAGCTACTTCTGTGCCCTCTCCAGCTCAGTTGGCAAGGTGTTTCACAAGATCAGGGCTGGCCATGAAACCAGCAGCTTTTCTGTGGAAGGGAGCTACACTTTTTTGGAGGTATTTCCTGTAAAAGTAGAAAATGCAGAGGGAAATGAACAGAGAAAGCTCACAGCCCTGCCAGCCTTAGGTCACAGATTAGATCCTATTGGGATGAATGCCAGGTCAGAGGACTAGCGAGGAACTTGACTAGTGAGGAAATGACCCAATCTGAATAAATGTCTTTTGTCGTTTATTCTCTTTCTTTAAAAGAAAAAAATTGCACAATGCCTTAATTATAACACCATATTGTTGAGTTTATAACATACAGATGTAATATGCATTTGTAAAAAATGGCAGAAGAGGTGGAAAATGTAGGTATATTTAAGTAAAATAGCTATATTTTGGTGCAATTAAGTTATTTCTTTACCTGAAATTGAGTGTGATAAGGTACATATTATAATTCCAAGAGCAACCTTTCAGGTAATAACTCAAAAATATAATTAGAAAATTAACAGAAGAATTAAAATGGTACACTAAAAATTTTTGTTTGACATGAACACGGTGAAGGAGGAGCAGAGGGATTTAAAAGTTACAAGACATATTAGAAACAAATAAAAATGGCAGATAGAAATCCAGCATTTCAATAATTACATTAAATGAGTTATAGACTTCCTCAATCAAGTTAAACTCAATTTTAAGAAACAAGGTTCAACTTATGCTGTTTACCAGAGACAAACTTTAAATTCAAGACACAGCTTGAAAGTAAAAATACAGAAATAGATATATCATGCAAACAGTAACCATGAGAGAGCTAAAGTGGCTATCTAATATCAGACAAAATAGACAAAAAGATAAGAAATATTTCTAGAGACAAAGAAGAATATACCATAGTGGTAAAAGGATCAATAAATTAGAAAACAATTATAAATATACAAACAACAAACAATAAAGAGTAAAATATACAAAGAAAAAAATGACAGAATTGAAAGGAAAAATAAACAACTCAAAAATTAAAATTGAAAATATCAGTATCTCACTTTCTATAATTGATAAAACAGCTAGAATAAAAATTAGCGAAGTTATAGAAGATTTATACAACACTATAACAAATATAACCTAACTGGCATTGACAGAACATACCACCCAACTACAAAAGAATTCACATCCTTTTTAAGAACACATAAAATATTCTTCAGGATAAACCATATGCTATGAAAGAAAATAAATCCCAATAAACACAAAGGATTGAAATTATTTCAGGTATGCCAGGTGCCGTGGCTCCTGCCTGTAATCCCAGCACTTTGGGAGGCCTAGGCGGGCAGATCATGAGGTCAGGAGATTGAGACCATCCTGGCTAACACAGTGAAACCCCGTCTCTACTAAAAATACAAAAAAATTAGCCGGGCATGGTGGCAGGCCCCTGTAGTCCCAGCTACTCAGGAAGCTGAGGCAAGAGAATGGTGTGAACCCTGGAGGCGGAGCTTGCACTGAGCCAAGATCGCACCACTGCACTCCAGCCTGGGTGACAGAACAAGACTCTGTCTCAAAAACAAAAAAAAAGAAATTATTTCAAGTATGCCCCCAAACCAAACCACAATGCAATTGAATTAAAAACCAATAACAGAAATAAAATTAAAGATAGCCCTGATCATTAAAAAGTCAGGAAACAACAGGTGCTGGAGAGGATGTGGAGAAATAGGAACACTTTTACACTGTTGGTGGGACTGTAAACTAGTTCAATCATGGTGGAAGACAGTGTGGCGATTCCTCAAGGATCTAGAACTAGAAATACCATTTGACCCAGCCATCCCATTACTGGGTATATACCCAAAGGATTATAAATCATGCTGCCATAAAGACACATGCACACGTATGTTTATTGAGGCACTATTCATAATAGCAAAGACTTGGAACCAACCCAAATGTCCATCAATGATAGACTGGATTAAGAAAATGTGGCACATATACACCATGGAATACTAAGCAGCCATGAAAAATGATGAGTTCATGTCCTTTGTAGGGACATGGATGAAGCTGGACACCATCATTCTCAGCAAACTATTGCAAAGACAAAAAACCAAACACCGCATGTTCTCACTCACAGGTGGGAATTGAAAAATGAGAACACTTGGACACAGGAAGGGGAACATCACATACCGGGGCCTGTAGTGGGGTGGGGGCAGGGGGGAGGGATAGCATTAGGAGATATACCTAATGTAAATGACGAGTTAATGGGTGCAGCACACCAACATGGCACATGTATACCTATGTAACAAACCTGCACATTGTGCACATGTACCCTAGAACTCAAAGTATAATAAAATATATATATATATATAAATAAAGATAGTCCTAAATATTTGGAAATTAAACAATACATTTCTAAATAACCCAAGGATCAAAGAAAAAATCATATCAGAAATTAGAAAATATTTTGCATTGAATGAAAGCAAAATCACAACATATTAAAATGTATGGGATACAGCTAAAGTTGTGCTTAGAGGAAAATCTGTTGCTTTAAACACAATATTAAGAAGCAAAAAGTTTTCAAATAAATGTGTTCACCATTTGAAACAAAATAAGAACAAGTTAAATGTAAAGTAAGTAGAAAAAAGGAAATAATAAAGATCAGAGTGGAAATCAATGAAATAGAAAAGAGAAAAACAATATAGAAAATAAATGAAACCAAAAGTTATGCCTAGAGAAAGATAAAAAAGAATTGATAAAACTTTAGGCTGACCAAGATAAAATAAGAGAAGAAAAAAATTACCAAATTTGGGAATCAAAGAAGGGATATTACTACAATACCTACAAAAATTAAAAGAATCATAAAAGAATAGGAACAAGTTTGTGCCAACAAATCAGACAACTTAGATGAAATGGACAAATTCCAAGAAATCTACAAATTACAAAAATGACCTAAAGTAATAGAAAATCTGGGTAGATCTATTATAAGGAAATAAAGTGAATTAGTAATTTAAAATCTTACCAGAATCTAAAACCTAGGCTTAGATGGCTTCACTGGTGAATTATTTCAAATATTTAAAGAAAAAGTCCAATTCTACACAAACTTTCTTCAAAAATAAAAGAGAAGGAAACACTTCCAAATTCATTTGATGAAGCAGGTATTACTCAAAGGCAGTGATTACCTTACAATTTTTTAATGTACAGAATAAACTTCTTCATGAACATAGACACAAATATTATTTACAAAATATTGAACTGAATACAAGAACATAAAAAATAATTCTACAACATGATCAAATGGGATTTATTCCAGGAATGCATGGTTGTATATAATTTGAAAATTGATTAATGTAATTCACTAAATTATAGAATAAAAACAAAAACCACATGATAATCTCAGTAGACACAGAAGAAAACCTGTTTGACAAAATTTACTCCTCATTTATGATAGAAGCTCTCAACAAAAATAGTTAGAGAAAAGATCTGCCTCAACCAGAATAAAAAGGCATCTACGAAAAAATTCAAAAAATTCCAGCTGTGTCATACTTAATGGTAAATGCCTGAATACATTCTGTCTAAGATCAGGAACAAGACAAAGATGTTCATTGTCACTGTTTATCTTCAACATTATATTGGAGTTTTTAGCTGATGAAATAAAACAGAAAAAGAAATAATAGCTATCCATATTGAATATATTGAATAGGAAGAAATCAAACTATCTTCTTATCTAGATTACATGATGATCTGTAGTATCAAATCTGGTGGCATCTGCAAAAAAGCTGATAGAAGAGTTTAACAAGTTTGCAGGATACAAGATCATTGTACAAAAAATTAATTATATTTCTATGTATTATGAGTCAATAATTAGAAAATGAAACTAAGAAAACACTTTCTTTAATAATAATTTCAAAAAATAAAATACTTGGAAATAATTTTAACAGAAGAAGCACAAGGTACACAAAAAATTATAGATAATTGCTGAGAGCAATTGAAAATTGAAATAAATAAAGATTCCATATTCATGGTTTAGAAGACTCAATTTGTGAAGATAATAACTCTCCTAATATTGAATCTATAGTTTCAATGCAATTCTAATATAAACACTAGCAGATTTTATTGTAGAAAATGACAAGCTGTTCCTAAAATTTATATGGAAATACTAAGGACCCAGAATAGCAAAGACAAGTTTGAAAGAGAAGACTAAAGTTTGACAAGTCACACTACCTGTTTGCAATACTTATAAATTTCTATTAATCGAGGCAGTTAGCATAGCTGAAATAATAAACATATGAATCAATGGGGCAGAATAGAGATTCTAGAAATAGACCCATATGTCTATGGTCAAATGATTACTTAGAAAGGTACCAAAGGAATTTAATGAAAAATAAATAATCTTTTTCATTATTAGTGTGGAATAATTATACATCTATACCCAAAAAAAGAATAAAAAGGATATTGAACCATACCTCAACCAAAATTATCTCAAAATGGATCATAGATCTAAATATAAAACCTAAACCTATGAAAGTTCTAGAAGCACACAGAAGAGTCATTGTGACGTTGCATCAGGCAAAATCTTAGACACAAAAATCATGAATCAGAAGATAAAAAAGGCTTCCTCAAGTAAAAATAAATCTGAAAGACACTGGGAAGAAAAAATAATTCACAGCATGGAAAATAATTGCAAATTATACATCTGATAAAATTATGTAAGGGGCTCTTAAAATTCAATAATAAAATAATTCATTAAAAATAAGCAAATGATTTGAATAGATGCTTCACTAAAATTAGATACAGTTAACAAATAAACAAATGAAAAGGTGATCAACATTATTTATTAGGCAATTTCATATTAAAACCACAATTATATCCCAGTACCTCCTATTGAATGCTGAAGTGGATATAGGGCATCTGAAAGTTTCATACACTACTAGTGGAAACGCAAAATAGTTCAGCCACTTAGGAAAACACTTCGGCAGTTTCTAATAAAGTTAAATATAAACTACTATACAACTCATCAATCTCTCAGCTATTTATTTACTCAAGAGAAATAAAGATACACATTTATACAAAAACCTGTATGTGAATATCTAAACATCTAGATAGCGCTATTGACATTTACCAGAAACTGGGGGAAAATAACCAAATGTCCATCAGCTGGTGAATGGATAAACAAAACTGTGATGGTTCTATCCACACAATGTAATACTCTTTACATTGAGTGTTTACAATGTAAGATTCTTTTTATATGTTCATATAATTTATTACTTTTTATTGCTTTTTACTTTATTGCCCAGCATTGGACCAACTGGCAAAAGAGAAACATAAATACAATGTAAACATAAAAATGCATAAATAATAAATACTAGATGTGTGCTCATTAACACATCTCTGTTACATACAGCTGTAGTTTATCACAAAGTGGCTTTTGTTTTTCATTTTTCTCATATTCTAGCTTGGAATTCCTATAGTGAGGTTTGTGGCTGATACCTATGAATGCCCAGAACCCCTGTAAAGTTGCTTTGTTGTTCTTGCAAAGCATAAGTTCTGGCACCAGATCCTCTGGATTTCTACCAATATTTCACTGAGCAAATATACTAACTAATACTGGTAGCACTGACAATGACTTGATGTTGTACATTCTTTTCTGATCAAGAGAAAAGAATACATGTATTCTACTCTTGTGTTGGATTCTATAATACACATCTTAAAATAGAGAAGTTGCATACTGATCCCTTCACCACATGTAGCCTATTTCATATATACTTATAGCTCATTTTCCTGGCCATCACATAAGAACCTGGGGCCTAGCCAAACAATCATCAGAGTGACTTAATTATTCTGTGCAAATTGAATACACACTCTAGTGAATGAAGCTTAATTTTTAGATAAACCTCATTTTCTTCAGCCCTTTTATGCCTCACAATAAATATTAAGGCAAGAGCCATTTTCCTCCTCATTAGAATAGACTCTTGAATGACCTGCCCCAATCAGTCCTTGAAACATACCTAAAAGTATATATATTTTTTGAGACAAGGTCTTGTTTTCTGTCACCCAGGCTGGAGTGCAGTGGCATGATCACAATTCACCGAAGCCTCAATTTACCTGACTCGAGCCATCCTCCCACCTCAGCCTCCCAAAGTGCTAGGATTACAGGTATGAATCACTCTATCAGGGCAGAAATATTTTAATCCTACAAAAAACATAGCTTTGGCTCAAATTGAAATCACAGTTATATTAATAAAAGTGTATATTTACTACCTGCCAAGCACCAAAGTTGCAAAGATGCCTCAAATGTTTTCTTCTAAGTCTTTATCTTCCAATAATAAAATCATATAAATACATATATAAAATAAAATAACAAGTGATTAAATTGAGGTATTATAGAGTATAGCAAAAACACAAAGGAATCATTGGTCATATATATATTTTTTGCTGGGAAAAGAGATTAGAAAAAGCTTAATAGAGTGATTGGAAGGGAAAGGACAAGAAGGAGATTTCTTACATGAGGAGCAGATGAGCAATTCATGAAGGTGTAATAAAACAGATCGCTTTTCATAGAAACCCTACATAGTATATTATGATTTAGGGTATTTGAGGCAGGTATAATGAGGAATAAATGCAATGAGAAAAGTAGGAGCAGGATCAGGAAGATCCTTTGAGCAAAATTACTTTAAAACTAGATTGTATAATTATGAGTTTTTTGCACTTCTCCTTTGCCTCTCTACATGTTGTAAACTGAATAAATGCATAAAAAAGCTTATAAGTGAAAATAGGCATATCTATTGAGATACACAGACCCAAAAGAAAATCAGGAAATAGGCTTTGCTCCAAGATTTTATTCCTGCTCTAATGCAAGCTAATTTCACAATCTTCATCCTCAGGATGTAAATAAATAGAAGTAGATTTATCTTAATGATGATATTTGTAGCCTCATTTTGGCTTTTTGACTTGCTCATATGTGAATATTTCTTAGAAATGGACAGCAATTGTTATTTGTTTTCACCAGGCTCATTCACTTGCTAAGGTTTAGGCCTATTCAATTATTCTTTTCTCTCTAGACTTTCTACATTAGAAGCACACTTGCATAGGGTTGGTAATTTTCCATGTATGAAACATTTAAAGCAGGCATTTTCTCTCATCTCTCTTTTGTTAAGATGAATGGTAAGTTTAAGTGTATTCAGTTTTTGCTTCTTAAAAATAATATAAAATAGGCTGGGCATGGTGGCTCACTCCTGTAATCTGAGCATTTTGGGAGGCTGAGTCAGGCAGATTGCTTGATCCCAGGACTACCAGACCAGCCTGGGAAACATAGCCAAACTCCCATCTCTATAAAAAACTACAAAAAATTAGCCAGGCATGGTGGCATGCACCTGTAGTCCCAGCTACTTGGAAGCCTGAGGTAGGGGAATACCTTGAGCCTGGGAGGTAGAGGTTACAGTGAGCCAAGATGGTGCCACTGTGCCCCAGCCTGAGTGAAAGAGTGAGACCCTGTCTCCAAAAATTAAAAATAAAAAATAAATAATAAATGGAAAAATAATAATATAAACTAATGCCATGCACATAGCAATGATGGTAGTGTGTCATGAACTAAAGCTGACAACAAATCCAATTTTACTCTGAGATTTTCAAACATGTAGTGTTATTTTGTTCCACTGATCAGAACACTTCAATGGCTTCTGATCTCATTCAGAATAAAAACTAAAGTCTCTACAAGCTCCTACAGGATATAGACCCTAACTAATTCTCTGATTTTGTACATCACTATTTATTCACTCCCTTCAGCACACTCTGGCGTCTTTGCTATTCCTCAGGCACACCAAGCATGCTCCCGCCTTGCCATTTTTAGTCTTGCTGCATACTCTGCTTAAAATTCTGTTTTTCAAAAAGCCCTATATAAAATGACACACCTATCTACAAACATAAAACAACACACCTATCTACAAATGTAAAAAAACACACCTATCTATAAACATAAAACAACACACCTATCTACAAACATAAAATTTTTGCAATGACATTCCATCTTCTTGACCTTGTCAACCCTCACTCTGGTAACTAAAATTCTGCCTACAATTCCTTTACCTGCTATTCAGAAATTTATGCCATTGAGGTTAATTTACCATCTTCCTTAACAAAAATAATGACAGGGGTAAGTTTTTGCCCCTGCCCAAACTTTAAATATTCACTGAACATTGAAAGACAGGGCTTCAAGAAGGAAATGTGTTTGGATGGAGAATGTGTATAAGTGGGAGGAAGTTGAGGGCAATGACATGATTAAATGTCAATATGAAATGTGCAAGGTGTTCAGGAGCCATTTGGCTAGAGCAATGGATTTATGTATGATTACAGTGATGAATAAGGCCACAATATCAAGTTGAGGCTCTGCATGAGGCAAAAGTTTTTCAATGGTTCAAATAGGCAGAACTAGAAGATACAGGGACCAGCCCTCTGTGTGTCTGTTTATGTCTGTGTTCAGTTGTGTATATGGATCTTTAATGTGGACTAAAGGTAGTCCACAATATGGACTATCTTTCCTATTAATTCATCCTTCTACTCTCTTTTTTCTTAAAGAACAAAAAAAGTGATGAAGCTTTTAGCTTTACATTCCTGAAAATTTTGATAGGCTTATTTTATTTCAGCATTCCCATTACTTGAGAAATAAACAGTCATTTACTTCATCTGTGGGGTTGCTAACTCTCCTCCACATAGAGTATAAACATTTATGTAGCTGCTGTGTGATTGACTGAGAACTCCTTATCCTGTGTGAAACATGATGCAGCACTCCTACTCAGAGTATTTTGTTTGCTCTGTCTATTCTGGAATAAGAACTAGAGTTCATGTATTTGTTTATTTTTAAAATACATTTTTTTATAAAATCCCCAATTTTCTTATGAGTTGGAGCCATTAATAAGAGTAAAATCAACAGAGCCTAGCTATATAAATTCTGTCTAATAGGGCCCTTTCCATCCAGAGGAGAAGGTGAAAAAACAAGAATTTGGCTTATTTTGTGGCTTGCAAGTTAGGAAACGAAGGCTTTGTTGACATAGGAAAGGAAGGGAAGCCCCAAGCCCGGGCCTCCCTAAGGGAAATATCTTGTTGCTTCCTGGGGTCTGGCTTCCTGCAGCTGCCAAGTTGTTAACACAAGTGCTGCTGTTCATATCTGTTGGCTCATACGAGTGTGGGAGATGGGGGAGTAGGGGGTGGAAGGAGATGGTTGGAAGGTGATCAGAAGTGGAGGTTGAAGCCTGAGTTCATCTCTAAGTGTTAATGCAGCTAAGTACTCTCCAGAGTCTCTCATAGCTCATTATGCTTCTAGTTAAGAAACTCTTGTCAGAGAAGTAGTAGCTGTGGCCCATGGACTGCTCCCTTCTCTGTGACAAGTGGAATTAAGAGGCTGTCCCAGCAACCAGATGGGAGCAGAGAGGCTTGCATGTAGCCACAGACATGGAAGGAATCAGTTCCCAGGTGGCCTTACGTGGTTACTATCATTTCAACTAAGCTACATTATCCAAGGCAGAGAAAGCTAACTTTCTCTCTATCTGTCAATCTCTCTCTCTCCCTAAACATATGTATATATGTATATACACACACATGCATATATTACATTATATATTGTATATATTTAGTAGTTATTTTTGTACCAATAACCCACCTAGTAGAAAATAAGCTTGGCTGTGAGATTTGTCCCTTTTGTGCTATCTTAGAAAATGAGGAGGGAATGGGAAGGAAATGAATGGAAAGAAGGAATATACACACCCAGGAATCTGCCTGGTAATGGCAATAGGGAAAAAGGAAACTCAAATTAAATGAATTTGGATTGGGAGAGCAAAAATCCTGGGACTGTGGAACAAATAGTGCTTTTCCGACCTATAAACTATCACACACAAACGAAAACAAAACAAAACCCTAAGTACTCAGATAGTGCGAGGCCACAGTTCCTGGCATGATGCCTGACACCTGGCAGTCTCTGAACAAGTGTTAATCTTTCCTTGTCCCTTCTCTTGTACACTAGTATGCATGAGTATGTCTCCAAAAATAAATACGTGTAATGCATAAAATTCAAATTTATACAACAGATATATCAGATGCTTATTATTTATGTTATAAAAGTATTTTTGCTTTCTTTAGCAAATTGATTAATACATTTGAACTATCATTCAACTTACAAGGGTCTGATTTGCACATATTTCAGGAACACACCAGCTACACGAAGTGAGGCAGATCTATAGATGTTTTCCAAATGCGAGTAAATCTAATTTTGGTTAGTTGAATCCGATATTAAATTTCCTTGGAGAATAGGTTATTTGAAAGGGCCCCAAGGTGAATTCTTTTAGTAAAGCATAAACTCTTTTTGAATGGTGAAAAATTTGTGAAAAACTTGATGACAAGTCTCCCTGGCCAGAAAGAAGTGCTTGTCAGTTTTCCCAAGAGTGGAGTCTAGGCAAAGTTCAGGAAGCAGCTAGGAAAGGTAAAGGAAAGAACAGGTTACGGGAGGGAGTGGGCAGATCATCAAGCAAATCTGTATGGATTTCTAACCTGAGCTACAAGATGGATATACAATTTCCAGACACAGAATCATGCACACATGTATTGTTTATTCTTCAGCCCTTGACATTGGGTTTTCCTGATGCGTGTACTACCTGCATTTTAGAAACTGAAAATGCAGTGTTGACTAAATCTGGAGATAACACTACATGTGAAGGCAAGATAAATGAAACATTAAACTTTGAAAAAAGATGAGGGAACCCACAGGAGTGTGTAGATTAAGAAAAAAGAGAAGAAGGGAAGCCAAACCTCTGGGAATCACCAACAGTTAAAGCATGCTAAAGGAAAAGCAGACTGAGGAGAGGAGAGTGTGGTAATGCAGGATGAAAGTAAAGAGAGACTTTTAAGGAGAGAGTAGTCAACTAGGTTAATTGTGGCAGGTAAGTAAAGTTATGTAAAGTCTAAGGGGTGTCCTTTAAGCTTAGCAATAATGAGATCCTTGGAGACTGTTAAAAGACTAGTTTAGTGTGGCAGGAAGATGGACATAGGAATAGTTGACCCATGTCTCTCAAACATCAGCTGTTTCAGAGAAGCAATGATAACCAACTGGTGGCACATAAAGACTAGATTCTGGGCCTGGGCACAGTGGCTCACATTATCTCAGTAATTTGGGAGGCCAATGCGGAAAGATCACTTAAGACCAGGATTTCAAGACCAGCCAGGATAACACAGCGAGACCTCATCACTACAAAAATTTAAAAAATTCACTGCATGTGGTGGCACACACCTGTAGTCCTAGCTACTCAGAAGGCTGAGGTGGGAGGAGTGCTTGAGTCCAGGAGTTCAAGGTTACAGTGAGATATGATAGTGCTGCTACTTTCCAGCCTGGGTGTCAGAGCAAGACCCTGTATCTAAAAAAATAAAATAAAATAAAATAAAATGGATTTCCTTGGATAACCTGAAGACAAGATAATACAGTTCTGTCTAAGAGAAGAGCAATATGCTCAGATATACCAGACAAGAGTGGGCAAAGATGTTTTGTTGTGGTAAATACAGAGATAACTATGTATTCTTGACTTAATGAAGCATATCAACTTGCCTGCAAAGAAGTGTCCTTGCAAGTAAATTTTAGACTTTTCTCAGAAAACGTTCTGAATCTCTTAGTGTTATTCCAAATCCTGGTGATATTATGATAACCTGAGACTATTTGTAGACAACACTGAGTTCTAGTCTCCTCCACAGTTTCTATGTCCTTTATGCTTAGGAATTTCTAAACCTTTATTAATTGTATGTATGCATATGTGGTTTATTCATTTGCCATCCATTTATCCAACAAACACTTATTGAAAGAAATCACTAATCTTTAGCACTAGCGGAGATAACCAGGTTGAGTAAGACATGTAACTAAAAAACCTGCTAGATAAAATGAAGTATCAGACAACTTAGGATAGATTTAAATACAAGTTATAAGACCAATACAAGCAAATTGTTAGAAGAATGTAAACAAAACAAAGATTATATCTGATGCAGGGTGTGGGGGCTGATTCCAAAGGTTTCAAGTAAGAAAGTGTGTTAAGATGCCCTTGAAGTTTCCTGGTCTCTCACTATTCTCACACATCCTGTTTCTCAAATCTTTAAATTATTTACAGCTCTTCTTTGAAATCACTTTCCATGCTTTTCAAATCCCATAGAGTCCAATACCTGACCTGCTGTAAATGCAAAAATGAATGTCTAAGTGTTCCCAAGTGAATGTGACATCTTATAGTGTTTGGTGGGCAATGGTGTGTGGAAATACAGTTAGATTCTCTGTCCTATGACAATGAATGCAATGGACTGTGTTTAAGGTCAGAATACATGATGCTTCTGTATCATGATGGATGGGCAGCAACAGTTTGCTCCTGGCCTCCCAGTCATGCTGGGAGAATTTCCAGACAGCACCTCCAAGAGTGAGCATATCCTGTTTCAGCCTGCAAAGGTATCACCATTAATACAAAAAGAGCTGACAACCAAAAGGTGATACAAAACTGCCCAGCGTGGCTTGGGAAGCCAGGAAAGTTGATTAACTGTTATTTCCTGATCTATAAATCATCAATTTCAAACCTCTTGGTGTACTTTCCATAAAATATTGCCTGTGGGCCTTTGTTATAAAAGAGCATCTCATTTTTTACAATGACCTTATAAATAATAATTAATATGGTACAATGAAAGAGTATCCTGTTATAAACCATGCAAAAATAGGGTAGCATATTTAACTGCTTTGATAGTTAAGAAACATGCTACACATGTGTATGCCTGTATGTCCTAAGAAGCACTTTATTAAGGTTTCCCATCTTAGAATATTCATTTCCATTAGTTTGCCAATAAAGTTATTATGCATTCATAGGAGAAGGAAGATCTTCTCTTTCTCAATTGCCTCTCCTTAAGGACTAAAAATAAGTATTCCTACAAAAATAAAAGAGATTATGTATGTAAAATACTTTCAAGTTATACTTTTATATGTATCATATCATTTAATTTACATAATCAGTGAGGTAGGTATCATTACCTCTACTTAAAAGGAGAGGAAAGTAAGATTCAAAGAAAGTAAGTAACTTTTTAAAGGTCTCAGTGCTGATAAATGACAGAAAGAGACTATCTTACAGGAGTTATGATTTTTAGTGGCTTTCTGTAATATCATTATTGTTTATTGAGGATGATTATTTTACTAAAGGTAAGATTCATGAACCAGTAACACTGCCATCTTCTAGGAGCTTGTTAGAAATTCAGAATCTCAAACGCTTCTTCCACACTAACTAAATCAGAATCTGCATTATTATAAGGTTAACATGTGATCTACATGTACATTAAAATTTAAGAAGGAATGAAATTTATTATTTCATTCAATTACTCAGCATATGTTTATTAGGCTCCTACTAATTAATATTTACTGAATAAGTCTGATTTGATAAGTTTGATAATAGTTGCAAATTTAGCATAGTAGATGTTACTACAGTTTTGGTACATTTATATAGATACCTGCTTGCTGAATGATTTTTATTGACTTCATAGGTCATATTAGTCAAACAAGTAGTTGATTGAAAAACTAGTTGCTCTATTTTTCCAGTGAATTGTCACTAGCACAATTGGTTAAAAGGTGAAAATGCCATTATATTATTACTTTTCTTTAATGATTTATAGGTCTATTTCACCCACTACACAGAAGGCCATTGGACAGAGGCCATAGTTTGTAGCCTTCAGAACTCAACTCTAGATTCACCATTGAGCAGATGCTCAAAAGGGTTAAAATCAATTATTTACAAATGAGTAATTTTGGAGGATTACAGCATTATCCCAGCTATTGTTTGCATAATTTCCTTCCATTTAACTTATTTTAGGAATTAGTTTGCTTTCTTGAAAAAAAATCACTGAGTTGATTTTCTCTTGATTTCTGTATTTAGGACACAACTAAAAAGTCTGCTGATTGCTGCTGTCACTGATTATGGCTTCCGATTATTTAAGTAACAATTCATTTTTCTGGGACTTTGAAAAGGGAGATTAAAAGAGGTAATTAATAAAGTGTATTAAAAACTGGCAGATATCATGTAGGAGACATTAAATTAGAAATGAAGGTAGGTTCCAGAAACCTGGGGAAAAAAATAGAATCAGAATTGGAATACTGCCTCAAGGGATGTAACTGATTTAGGTCTTGAGCTTATTGTTCTTTATTAATAGCGGTGTTTCTCTGGAGGACACTAGATGCTTTTCCTTTCTCTCTTTTTTCACTACTTATTTAACTATTTTATCTTATAATCCAGTCATCTCTTTCTATTCAGAACTCATGGACCAAATGCAGTTTTTTTGTTTTTGTTTTTGTTTTGTTTGTGTTTGTTTGTTTTGTTTTGTTTTTGAGACAGAGTTTTGCTCTTGGTGCCCAGGCTGGAGTGCAATGGCGTGATCTTGGCTCACTGCAACCTCCACCTCCCGGGTTCAAACTATTCTCCTGCCTCAGCCTCCTGAGTAGCCGGGATTACAGGCACGTGCCACCATGCCTGGCTAATTTTATATTTTTAGTAGAAGCGGGGTTTCTCCATGTTGGTCAGGCTGGTCTCGAACTCCCAACCTCAGGTGATTGGCCTGCCTCAGCCTCCCAAAGTGCTGGGATTACAGGTGTGAGCCACTGTTCCCAGTGACCAAATGCAGTTTTAAGACTGTATTCTTCTCGTGGTTTAGTTTGCATTAATGCCAAAATATACATGTATTTATTTAATTATTACTTAAAGCACAATACACCTTTGCCTCATCCTTATAGATTACAACTAGATAACAACAGCAAAGATTAACATTTTAGACAATCTACTCATTCCAGAGGTCTGGAGGGTCACATGAATTGTCATATGTCAACAACTGAACCCCAGTCTCTCAATGAGGTGGTCTGAGTTTGGAATCAACTATTCAATGAACAATTTTATTGCAATGTATAGACATGGCTGTACTCTTTTGTATGGAGACATTTCATTTAGAATAGTCTGATCCTAGAAGACTAACATCCCTAAACTTAAGGGACCATTTAAGTGGTCTCCACATTAAAAACTATATAAAAACCCATTTTTCTTCATGCCTCTGAAATTATGAAATCAAGGCTGTAAGATTTATTGTCAACAATATACCTGGTTTCTATTGCCATAGGTGTTATGTTGCATAAATAAAGATGCTGTATATCTCTAAATAGCTTCCTGTTGGTGGCATAATAAAATGTTTTGTGGTCAACAGGAATTGCTGAATGTAATACAGACTTGGAATTCCATGAGAAAGACCAGGAAAAGACATGAAATGCACAGTTTTATGAGGCCTAAAATCTGATTTTTGTCTCTGTCACTGACTTCCTGTTTGACTTACAGAAAAATTACAAAATTATAAGGTGGAAAAGTCATCTAAATTATTGAGTAGATATACATGCATTTTGTATCCTGCTAACTTCCAAAAGAATTTAATAGAATCATAGATTAAATGCCAGAAATATAGGACATAAAAATAAAACACATACTAAAATAACTTATTGAAAGATCTTGAATGCACTGGTATTGTAAATGGTTTTGATATTGGGGCATTACTTTTGGCTTTTTTTTTTTAAGAGGGTGGAATAAAAACAAAGCTAGAAATGCACCCATTCGATAGTCTTAAGGTTTCAACCCAGGTTTTCCAATAAAGTGGGGTACTTATTTATTTTAGAGGAGTCAATCTTTTTGTTTAATTGAGAGAAAACATTGTATGTTTTATCACATGTAAAATTATGTTTTGATGTTTTTCCATACATTGTGGAATGGTTAAATCTAATTCACAGATTCTTTACCTCACATCATTATCATTTTTGGGGGTGACAGTGCTTAACATCCACTCTCTTTACATTTTTCAAGAATACAATATATTGTTATTAACTATAGTAACCTTGCTGTACAATAGATCTCTTGAAATTTATTCCTGTTATGTAACTAAAAGTATGTGTCATTCGGTCAACATCTCCCTCTTCATCACTCACCTGTAACCGCCCAAGCCTCTGGTAGCCACCATTCTGTACTTCTATGAGATTAACTTTTTCAGATTCCACATATGAGTGAGATCATGCAGTATTTGTCTTACTGTGCCTGGTTAATTTAACTTAACATAATGTCCTCCAGGTATATCATGTTGTCATGAAAGGCAGGATTTCATTCCTTTTTGGGGATGAATGTATCCCATTGTGTGTATATACCACATTTTTAAAATCAATTCATTAGTTGATAGACACTTGGGTTGGCTATTATGAATATTGCTGCAGTAAACCAAGGAGTGCAGATATCTGCCAACATACTAATTTGATTTCCTTTAGATATACACCCAGGAGTGGGATTGTTGGATCATATGGTAGTTCTATTTTTAATTTTTAAAGGAATCTCCATATTTTTTTTCCATAATGTCTGTCTTAATTTACATTCCCACCAACAATGTGTAAGGGCTTTCTTTTCTCTACATCCTCACCAACACTTTTATTGATTGTCTTTTTGATAGTAGCCATTCTAACTGGAGTAAGGTGATATCTCATTGTGATTTTGAATTGCATTTCCATGAAGATTAATGACATAGAGCATTTTTAAAATTTTTATTATTATTATTATACTTTAAGTTCTAGAGTACATGTGCACAATGTGCAGGCTTGATACATAGGTGTATATGTGCCGTGTTGGTTTGCTGCACCCATCAACTCATCATTTACATTAGGTATTTCTGCTAATGCTATCCCACCCCTGCCCCCTACCCCAGGACAGGCCCTGGTGTGTGATGTTCCCTGCCCTGCATCCAAGTGATCTCATTGTTCAGTTCCCACCTATGAGTGAGAACATGTGGTGTTTGGTTTTCTATCCCTGTGATAGTTTGCTGAGAATGATGGTTTCCAGCTTCATCCATGTCCCTGCAAAGGACATGAACTCATCCTTTTTCATGGCTGCATAGTATTCCACGGTATAGATGTGCCACATTTTCTTAATCCAGTCTATCATTGATGGACATTTGGGTTGGTTCCAAGTCTTTGCTATTGTGAATAGTGCTGCAATAAACATATGTGTGCATGTCTCTTTAGAGTAGAATGATTTATAATCCTTTGGGTGTATACCCAGTAATGGGATTGCTGAGTCAAATGGTAATTCTAGTTCTAGATCCTTGAGGAATTGCCACACTGTCTTCCACAATGGTTGAACTAATTTACACTCCCACCAACAGTGTAAAAGCATTCCCATTTCTCCACATCCTCTCCAGCATCTGTTGTTTCCTGACTTTTTAATGATTGCCATTCTAACTGGTATGAGATGGTATCTCATTGTGGTTTTGATTTGCATTTGTCTGATGACCAGTGATGATGAGCATTTTTTCATGTGTCTGTTGGCTGCAGAGAAGTCTTCTTTTGAGATGTATCTCTTCATATGCTTTGCCCACTTTTTGATGGGTTTTTTCTCTTGTAAATTTGTTTGAGTTTCTTGTAGATTCTGGATATTAGCCCTTTGTCAGATGGGTAGATTGCAAAAATTTTCTCCCATTCTGTAGGTTGCCTGTTCACTCTGATGGTAGTTTCTTTTGCCATGTAGAAGCTGTTTAGTTTAATTAGATCACCTTTGTCAATTTTGGCTTTTGTTGCCATTGCTTTCGGTGTTTTAGACACGAAGTCCTTGTCCATGCCTGTGTCCTGAATGGTACTGCCTAGGTTTTATTCTAGGGTTTTTTATGGTGTTAGATCTAATATTTAAGTCTTTAATTCATCTCGAATTAATTTTTGTATAAGGTGTAAGAAAGGGATCCAGTTTCAGCTTTCTACATATCGCTAGCCAATTTTCCCCGGACCATTTATTAAATAGGGAATCCTTTCCCCATTTCTTGTTCTTGCAAGGTTTGTCAAAAATCAGATGGTTGTAGAAGTGTGGTGTTATTTCTGAGGTCTCTGTTCTGTTCCACTGGTCTATGTATCTGTTTAGGTACCAGTACCATGCTGTTTTGGTTACTGTAGCCTTGTAGTATAGTTTAAAGTCAGGTAGCGTGATGCCTCCAGCTTTGTTCTCTTTGCTTAGGATTGTCTTGGCAATGAGGGCTCTTTTTTGGTTCCATATGAACTGTAAAGTAGTTTTTTCCAATTCTGTGAAGAAAGTCATTGGTAGCTTGATGGGAATGGCGTTGAGTCTATAAATTACTTTGGGCAGTATGGCCATTTTCACAATATTGATTCTTCCTATCTATAAGCGTGGAATATTCTTCCATTTATTTGTGTCCTCTTTTATTTTGTTGAGCAGTGGTTTGAAGTTCTCCTTGAAGAGGTCCTTCATATCCCTTGTAAGTTGGATTCCTAGGTATTTTATTCTCTTTGTAGCAATTGTGAATGGGAGTTCACTCATCATCTGGCTCTCTGTTTGTCTGTTAATGGTGTATACAAATGCTGTGATTTTTGCACATTGATTTTGTATCCTGAGATTTGCTGAAGTTGCTTATCAGCTTAAGGAGATTTTGGGCTGAGACAATGGGGTTTTCTAGATATACAATCATGTCATCTGCAAACAGGGACAATTTGACTTCCTCTTTTCCTAATTGAATGCCCTTTATTTCCTTCTCCTGCCTGATTGCCCTGGCCAGAACTTCCAACGCTATGTTGAATAGGAGTGGTGAGAGAGGGCATTCTTGTCTTGTGCCAGTTTTCAAAGGGAATGCTTCCAGTTTTTTGCCCATTCAGTATGATATTGGCTGTGGGTTTGTCATAAATAGCTCTTATTATTTTGAGATATTTTCCATCAATACCTAGTTTTTGAGAGTTTTTAGCATGAAGCCCTGTTGAATTTTGTCAAAGGCCTTTTCTGCATCTATTGAGATAATCATGTGGTTTTTGTCATTGGTTCTGTTTATGTGATGGATTACACTTATTGATTTGCATATGTTGAACCAGACTTGCATCCCAGAGATGAAGCCGACTTGATCGCGGTGGATAAGATTTTTGATGTGCTGCTGGATTCAGTTTGCCAGCATTTTATTGAGGATTTTTGCATAGATGTTCATCAGTGATATTGGTCTAAAATTCTGTTTTTTTGTTGTGTCTCTGCCAGGCTTTGGTATCAGGACGATGCTGGCCTCATAAAATGTGTTAGAGAGGATTCCCTCTTTTTCTATTAATTGGAATAGTTTCAGAAGGAATGGTACCAGCTCCTCTTTGTACCTCTGGTAGAATTCGGCTGTGAATCCATCTGGTCCTGGACTTGTTTTAGTTGGTAGGTTATGAATTATTGCCTCAATTTCAGAGGCTGTTATTGGTCTATTCAGAGATTCAACTTCTTTCTGGTTTACTCTTGGGAGGGTGTATGTGTCCAGGAATTTATCCATTTTTCTAGATTTTCTAGTTTATTTGCATAGAAGTGTTTATAGTATTATCTGATGGTAGTTTGTATTTCTGTGGGATCGGTGGTGATATCCCCTTTATCATTTTTTTTATTGCATCTATTTGATTCTTCTCTCTTTTGTTTCATATTAATCTTGCTAGCAGTCTATCAATTTTGTTGATCATTTCAAAAATCCAGCTCCTGGATTCATTGATTTTTTGAAGGGTTTTTTATGTCTCTATTTCTTTCAGTTCTACTCTGATCTTAGTTATTTCTTGCCTTCTGCTAGCTTTTGAATTTGTTTGCTCTTGCTTCTCTAGATCTTTTAATTGTGATGTTAGGGTGTCGATTTTAGATCTTTCGTGCTTTCTCTCGTGGGCATTTAGTGCTAAAAATTTCCCTGCTTTAAATGTGTCCCAGAGATTCTGGTACATTGTGTCTTTGTTCTCACTGGTCTCAAAGAACATCTTTATTTCTGCCTTCATTTTGTTATATACCCAGTAGTCATTCAGCAGCAAGTTGTTCTGTTTCCATATAGTTGTGCAGTTTTGAGTGAGTTCCTTATTCTTGATTTCTAATTTGATTGCACAGTGGTCTGAGAGAGAGTTTGTTGTGATTTCTGTTCTTTTACATTTGCTGAGGAGTGCTGTACTTCCAAGTATGTGGTCAATTTTAGAATATGGTGCTGTGGTGCTGAGAAGAATATATATTCCGTTGATTTGGGGTGGAGAGTTCTGTAGATGTCTATTAGGTCAGCTTGGTGCAGAGCTGAGTTCAGGTCCTGGATATCCTTGTTAACCTTCTGTCTCATTGATCTGCCTAATACTGACAGTGGGGTGTTAAAATCTCCCGTTATTATTGTGTGGGAGTCCAAGTCTCTTTGTGGGTCTCTAAGGACTTGCTTTATGAATCTGGGTGCTCCTGTATTTGGTACCTATATATTTAAGATAGTTAGCTCTTCTTGTTGAATTGCTTCCTTTACCATTATGTAGTGGCCTTCTTTGTCTCTTTTGATCTTTGTTGGTTTAAAGTCTGTTTTACCAAAGACTAGGATTGCAACCCCTGCTTTTTCTTGCTTTCCATTTGCTTGGTAGATCTTCCTCCATCCCTGTGTTTTGAGCCTATGTACATCTCTGCATGTGAGATGGGTCTCCTGAATACAGCACACTGATGGGTCTTGACTCTATCCAATTTGCCAGTCTGTGTCTTTTAATTGGGGCATGTAGCCCATTTACATTTAAAGTTAATATTCTTATGTGTGAATTTGATGCTGTCATTATGATGTTAGCTGGTTATTTTGCCCATTAATTGATGCAGTTTCTTAATAGCAACGATGGTCTTTAAGATTTGCGATGTTTTTGCAGTGACTGGTACTGGTTGTTTCTTTCCATGTTTAGTGTTTCCTTCAGGAACTCTTGTAAGGCAGGCCTGATGGTGACAAAATCTCTCAGCATTTGCTTATCTGTAAAGGATTTTATTTCTCCTTCACTTATGAAGCTTAGTTTGGCTGGATATGAAATTCTGGGTTGAAAATTCTTTTCTTTTAGGATGTTGAATATTGGCCCCCACTCTCTTCTGGCTTGTAGGGTTTCTGCTGAGAGATCTGCTGTTAGTCTAATGGGCTTCCCTTTGTGGGTAACTTGACCTTTCCCTCTGGCAGCCCTTAACACTTTTTCATTCATTTCAACACTGGCAAATCTGACAATTATGTGTCTTGGGGTTGCTCTTCTTGAGGATTATCTCTGTGTTGTTCTCTGTATTTCCTGAATTTGAATGTTGGCTGGCCTTGCTAGGTTGGGGAAGTTCTCCTGGATAATATCCTGAAGAGTGTTTTCCCACTTGGTTCCATTCTCCCCATCACTTTCAGGTACACCAATCAAATGTACATTTGGTCTTTTTATATAGTCCCAAATTTCTTGGAGGCTTTGTTCATTTCTTTTTACTCTTTTCTCTCTAGCCTTGTCTTCTTACCTTATTTCATTAATTTGATCTTCAATCACCGATACCCTTTCTTCCGCTTGATTGAATCAGCTATTGAAGCTTCTGCATGCGTCACGAAGTTCTTGTGCCATGGTTTTCAGCTCCATCAGGTCATTTAAGGTCTTCTCTACACTGTTTACTCTAGTTAGTCATTCGTCTAATCTTTTTTTCAAGGTTTTTAGCTTTCTTTCAATGGGTTTGAACATCTTTCTTTAGCTCAGAGAAGTCTGTTAATACCAACCTTCTGAAGCCTACTTCTGTCAATTTGTCAAAGTCATTCTCCGCCCAGCTTTGTTCTGTTGCTGGCGAGGAGCTGCGATCCTTTGGAGGAGAAGAGGCACTCTGATTTTTAGAAATTTCAGCTTTTCTGCTCTGATTTATCCCCATCTTTGTGGTTTTATCTACCTTTGGTCTTTGATGATGGTGACCCACAGATGGGTTTTTGGTGTGGATGTCCTTTTTGTTGATGTTGATGCTATTCCTTTCTGTTGTTAGTTTTCCTTCTAATAATCAGATGCTTCAGCTGCATGTCTGTTGGAGTTTTCTGGAGGTCCACTCCACATCCTGTTTGCTTGGGTATCACCAGCAGAGGCTGCTGAACAGCAAATATTGTAGAACAGCAAATATTGCTGCCTGATCCTTCCTCTGGAACGTTCATCCCAGAGGGGCGGCTGCCTACATAAGGTGTCTGTCAGCCCCTACTGGGAGGTGGCTCCCAGTTAGGCTACGTGGGGGTCAGGGACCCACTTCAGGAGGCAGTCTGTTCTTTCTCAGAGCTCAAACGCAGTGCTGGGAGAACCGCTGTCTGCTGTCAATCAGGGACGTTTAAGTCTGCAGAAGCCGTCTGCTGCCTTTTGTTCAGCTATATCCTGCACACAGAGGTGGAGTCTAGAGGCAGTAGGCCTTGTTGAGCTGCGGTGGGTTCTGCCCAGTTTGAGCTTCCTGGTGGCTTTGTTTACCTACTCAAGTCTCAGTAATTGCAGACGCCCCTCCCCAAGCCAGGCTGCCGCCTTGCAATTCTATCTCAGACTGCTGTGCTACCAGTTAGCAAGGCTCTGTGGGTGTGGGACCCATCAAGCCAGGCATGGGAGATAATCACCTTGTCAGCTGGTTGCTAAGACCTTGGGAAAAGCAGAGTATTTGGGCTGGAGTGTCCCGTTTTTCCAGGTAATCTGTCACAGCTTCCTTTGGCTAGGAAAGGGAAATCCCCCGACCCCTTGTGCTTCCCAGGTGAGGGGATTCCCTGACTTGTGTCAGCTCGTCCCCTGTGGGCTGCACCCACAGTCCAACCCGTCCCAATGAGATGAACCAGGTACCTCAGTTGGAAATGCAGAAGTCACTCGTCTTCTGCGTTGATCCTGCTGGGAGCTGCAGACCTGAGCTGTTCCTATTCGGCCATCTTGGAACACCCCCGACATAAAGCATTTTTCATTTACCTGTTAGCCATTTGTATGTCTTCTTTGGAGAAGTGTCTATTCATATTTTTTGCTTATTTTTAAGTCAAATTGTTTGGATTTTTTGCTACTGAGTTATTTGTGTTCCTTAGATATTTTGGATATTAACCTCTTGTCAGATATATAATTTGCAAATATCTTCTCTTATTCTGTAGGTTATCTATTCACTCTGTTGTTTCCTTTGCTGTTCAGAGACAATTTGACGTAATATGATTTGTCTATTTTTGCATTTGCTGCCTGTGCTTTTGAGGTCTTTGAAAAATTACTGTCCACACCAATGTTATAAAGCATTTATTTACCCAATGTTTTCTTCCAGGAGTTTTATAGTTTCGAGTTTTATAGTTATATAGTTTTATAGTTTCAAGTCTTAAATTTAAGTCTTTAATCCATTTTGAGTTGATTTTTTAATATGGTGAGAATATGGTGAGAGATAAGGGTCTAATTTCATTCTTCTGAATGTGGATATCCAGTTTTCCCAAAACCATTTATTGAAGAGACTCTCCTTTCTCAATGTATGTTCTTGACATCTTTGTCAAAAATGAGTTGGATATAAATGCATGGATTTCTATTTGGGCTCTCTGGTCAGTTCCATTGGTCTATATGTCTGTTTTTATGCCAGTATCATGCTGTTTGGTTACTATAACTTTGTATACTTTTAAAAAAATTCTTTTTTGACAAGTCATGATGGATATAGTATACTTTCACATAAGGCAATATGATGCCTCCAGCTTTGTTATTTATGTTGAAGATGGTTTTGAGTACTAAGGGTCTTTTGTGGTTCCCCTACACATTTTAGGACTTTTTTCTATTTCTGTGAAGAATGTCATTGTGACTTTGATAGAGATTGCATTAAATCTGTTGATATTTTTGGGTAGTATGGACGTTTTAGCTATATTAATTCTTCCAGTCTCTGAACACAGAATATTATTCCTTTTATTTGTGCCTTTTTCAATTTCTTTCAAAACTGTTTTATAGTTTTAATTTTATTTCTAGGTATTTTATTTTTATTTTTTGAAGATGTTGTAAATGGAATTTTCTTAATTTTTTCAGAAAATTTTCTGATTTTTGTACGTTGATTCTGAATCCAGGAGCTTTACTGAATTTATTAGTTCTAGCAGGTTTTGGTGGTTTTTAGGGTTTCCTACATATAAGATCATGTCATCTGCAAATAGGGACACTAACATTCTCCTTTACAATTTAGATGCCTTTTTTTTTCTTTTGTTTGCCTAATTGTTTGGATAAGGATTTTGGTACTATATTGAACAGAAGCAAAAGCGGGCCTCATTATCTAGTCCCAGATCTTAGAGAAAAGGCTTTTAATTTTCTCCTGTTTGGTATAAAGTTAACTGTGGGTTTATCATATATGGCCTTCATTGCTTTTAGGAATGTTCCTTCTATACCCAGTTTTTTGAGGTCTTTTATCATGGAGAGATGTTCAATTTCATTCAATGCTTTTTCATCACCTATTGAAAGGATTTTGTGGGGTTTTTTTTTTTTTTTGGTTCTGATGATGTGAGGAATCATAATTTTTGATTGGTATATGTTGAACCATCCTTGCATTCCTGAAATGAATGGCATTTAATCATGGTAAATAATCTTTTTTTAATTTTATTTTATTATTATTATACTTTAAGTTTTAGGGTACATGTGCACAATGTGCAGGTTAGTTACATATGTATACATGTGCCATGCTGGTGTGCTGCACCCATTAACTCGTCATTTAGCATTAGGTATATCTCCTAAAGCTATCCCTCCCCCCCTCCCCCCACCCCACAACAGGCCCCAGATTGTGATGTTCCCCTTTCTGTTCTCATTGTGTTCTCATTGTTCAATTCCCACCTATGAGTGAGAATATGTGGTGTTTGGTTTTTTGTCCTTGCGATAGTTTACTGAGAATGATGATTTCCAATTTCATCCATATCCCTACAAAGGACATGAACTCATCATTTTTTATGGCTGCATAGTATTCCATGGTGTATATGTGCCACATTTTCTTAATCCAGTCTATCATTGTTGGACATTTGGGTTGGTTCCAAGTCTCTGCTACTGTGAATAGTGCCGCAATAAACATACGTGTGCATGTGTCTTTATAGCAACATGATTTATAGTCCTTTGGGTATATACCCAATAATGGGATGGCTGGGTCAAATGGTATTTCTAGTTCTAGATCCTTGAGGAATCACTACACTGACTTCCACAATGGTTGAACTAGTTTACAGTCCCACCAACAGTGTAAAAGTGTTCCTATTTCGCCACATCCTCTCCAGCACCTGTTGTTTCCTGACTTTTTAATGATTGCCATTCTAACTGGTATGAGATGGTATCTCATTGTGGTTTTGATTTGCATTTCTCTGATGGCCAGTGATGGTGAGCATTTTTTCATGTGTTTTTTGGCTGCATAAATGTCTTCTTTTGAGAAGTGTCTGTTCATATCCTTTGCCCACTTTTTAATGGGGTTGTTTGTTTTTTTCTTGTAAATTTGTTTGAGTTCATTGTAGATCCTGGATATTAGCCCTTTGTCAGATGAGTAGGTTGCGAAAATTTTCTCCCATTTTGTAGGTTGCCTGTGCACTCTAATGGTAGTTTATTTTGCTGTGCAGAAGCTCTTTAGTTTAATTAGATCCCATTTGTCAATTTTGGCTTTTGTTACCATTGCTTTTGGTGTTTTAGACATGAAGTCCTTGCCCATGCCTATGTCCTGAATGGTAATGCCTAGGTTTTCTTCTAGGGTTTTTATGGTTTTAGGTCTAACGTTTAAGTCTTTAATCCATCTTGAATTAATTTTTATATAAGGTGTAAGGAAGAGATCCAGTTTCAGCTTTCTACATATGGCTAGCCAGTTTCCCCAGCATCATTTATTAAATAGGGAAACCTTTCCCCATTGCTTGTTCTTCTCAAATTTTTCAAAGATCAGATAGTTGTAGATATACAGCATTATTTCTGAGGGCTCTGTTCTGTTCCATTGATGTATATCTCTGTTTTGGTACCAGTACCATACTGTTTTGGTTACTGTAGCCTTGTAGTATATTTTGAAGTCAGGTAGTGTGATGTGTCCACCTTTGTTCTTTTGGCTTAGGATTGACTTGGTGATGTGGGCTCTTTTTTGGTTCCATATGAACTTTAAAGTAGTTTTTTCCAATTCTGTGAAGAAAGTCATTGGTAGCTTGATGGGGATGGCATTGGATCTATAAATTGCCTTGGGCAGTATGGCCATTTTCACGATATTGATTCTTCCTACCCATGAGCATGGAATGTTCTTCCATTTGTTTGTATCCTCTTTTATTTCCTTGAGCAGTGGTTTGTAGTTCTCCTTGAAGAGGTCCTTCACATCCCTTGTAAGTTGGATTCCTAGGTATTTTATTCTTTTTGAAGCAATTGTGAATGGGAGTTCACTCATGATTTGGCTCTCTGTTTGTCTGTTATTGGTGTATAAGAATACTTGTGATTTTTGCACATTGATTTTGTATCCTGAGACTTTGCTGAAGTTGCTTATCAGCTTAAGGAGATTTTGGGCTGAGACAATGGGGTTTTCTAGATATACAATCATGTCATCTGCAAACAGGGACAATTTGACTTCCTCTTTTCCTAATTGAATACCCTTTATTTCCTTCTCCTGCCTGATTGCCCTGGCCAGAACTTCCAACACTATGTTGAATAGGAGTGGTGAGAGAGGGCATCCCTGTCTTGTGCCAGTTTTCAAAGGGAATGCTTCCACTTTTTGCCCATTCAGTACGATATTGGCTATGGGTTTGTCATAGATAGCTCTTATTATTTTGAGATACGTCCCATCAATACCTAATTTATTGAGAGTTTTTAGCATGAAGCATTGTTGAATTTTCTCAAAGGCCTTTTCTGCATCTATTGAGATAATCATGTGGTTTTTGTCTTTGGTTCTGTTTATATGCTGGATCACATTTATTCATTTGTGTATATTGAACCAACCTTGCATCCCAGGGCTGAAGCCCACTTGATCATGGTGGATAAGCTTTTTGATGTGCTGCTGGATTTGGTTTGCCAGTATTTTATTGAGGATTTTTGCATCAATGTTCATCCTAACATCACAATTAAAAGAACTATAAAAGCAAGAGCAAACACATTCAAAAGCTAACAGAAGGCAAGAAATAACTAAAATCAGAGCAGAACTGAAGGAAATAGAGACACAAAAATCCCTTTAAAAAATTAATGAATCCAGAAGCTGGTTTTTTGAAAGGATCAACAAAATTGATAGACTGCTAGCAAGACTAATAAAGAAGAAAAGAGAGAAGAATCAAATAGACGCAATAAAAAATGATAAAGGGGATATCACCACTGATCCCACAGAAATACAAGCTACCGTCAGAGAATATTACAAACAACTCTACGCAAATAAACTAGAAAATCTAGAAGAAATGGATAAATTCCTGGACACATACACCCTCCCAATACTAAACCAGGAAGAAGTTGAATCTCTGAATAGACCAATAACAGGCTCTGAAATTGTGGCAATAATCAATAGCTTACCAACCAAAGAGAGTCCAGGATCAGATGGATTCACAGCCAAATTCTACCAGAGGTACAGGGAGGAACTGGTACCATTCCTTCTGAGACTATTCCAATCAATAGAAAAAGAGGGAATCCTCCCTAACTCATTTTATGAGGCCAGCGTCATCCTGATACCAAAGCCGGGTAAATAATCTTTTTTTAATGTGTTTTTTAATTTGGCTTGTAGTATTTTATTGAAATTTTTGCATTTACGTTTATCTGGGATATTAGCCTATAGTGTTTTTGTTGTTGTTGTTGTTGTTGTGTCTTTATCTGGTTTTGACATTACAGTAATGCTGGTCTTCCTATAATTTATTTGGAAGTATTCCCTACTCTTCTAATTTGGGGGGATAATTTGAGAAGAATTGGTATTCAGGAGTGAAGCCATCTAGTCCTAGGCTTTTCATTGATCAGAGACTTTCTATTACTGCTTTAATCTTGTTACTCATTATTGAGCTGTTCAGGTTTTCTTTTTATTCATGGTTCAGTCTTGGCAGGTTGTATGTGTCCAGGAATTTATTCATTTCTTCTAAGTTTTTCAATTTTTTTTTAGTATAACTGTTCATTAGTCTTATCATTCTTTGTATCTGTGGTATTGTAATCTCTCCTTTTTCATCTCTGAGTTGCTTTATCTGGGACTTCTCTCTATTTTTCTTAGGGTAGCTAAAGGATTTTTTGAAAATTTTGTTTTCTCAAAATATCAACTTTTCATTTTTTTGACCTCAAATGTTATTTGTTTATTTCTGCTCTGAGATGTTATTTTGTTTATTTCTACTCTGAGCTTTGCTATTTCTATTTTTCTGCTAATTATGAGCTTAGTTGTTTCTTGTTTTTCTAGTTCCTTGAGGTGCAATGGTAAGTTGTTTATTGAAATCTTTCTTTTTTTGATGTAGGTGTGTATCATTATAAACTTCCCTCTTAGAACTGCTTTTAGTGTTTTTCATAAATTTTGGCATATTTTATGTCCATTTTTATTTGTCTTAAGAATTTTTTAAATATCCTTTTTTACTTCTTCATTGATTCATTGGTTGTTCAAAAGCACGTTGTTTAATTTCCACATATTTGTAAAATTTCTAGTATTTGTTCTATTATTGATTTTCAGTTATATACCATTGTTGTCCAAAAGATGCATGACATAATTTTTTTCTTCTAAAATGTTCTAAAACTTGTTTTGTAGCTTAATATAATCTATCCTGGAGAATGCTCTGTGTGCAGTTGAGAAGACTCTGTGTTCTGCAGCTGTTGGATTGAGTGTTCTGTAAATGTCTGTTAGGTTCATTTGGTCTAGAATGCAGTTTAAATTAAATCTTTCTATATTAATTTTCTGTCCAGATGATCTTTCCATTGCTGAAAACTGGGTCTTAAAGTCCCCTACTGTTATTGTATTGCAGTCTATCTCTCCCTTTAAATATATTAATAATCACATATATTTCAGTGCTCCAGTGTTGGCTGCATATATGTTTACAATTGTATCCTTTTGCTGAATTTGCCCCTTTATTATAAATATGATGACCTACTTCTTCTCTTTTTACAGATTTTGACTTGAAGTCTATCTTATGTTATATATGTATAGCTACCCCTGCTTTGTTTAGATTTTCATTTGCATAGAATATCTTCCCATCTTTTCACTTTCAGTCTATGTATTTTCTTACAAGTGAAGTGAGTCCCTTGTAGGCAGCATATAGTTGAGTGCTCTTGTTATTTATACCATCAGTCACTCTCTTTTAATTAAAAATTTCAATTCATTTACATTTAAAATAATTTTTAATTTGTAAGAGCATACTACTGCCATTTTGTTCATTGTTTTCTAGTTGTTTCATAGATCTTTTTTCCTTTCTTCCTTCTTAGTGTCTTTCTCTGTGGTTAAGTGATATTCTCTAGTAGTATGTTTTTATTCCTTGCTTTTTATTTTTAGTGTATATATTTATCATAGGTTTTTGCTTTGTGCTTACCTTGAGGCTTACAAAAAAATCTTATAGTTATAACACATTAAATTAAATTGATAACAACTTTCTCTGGTTGCTAAAAATAAATGTAACCAACAAATGGAAATCCTACTCTACACTTTATTTCCACCTTCACACATACATTTTGAATTTTTGATGTCATAATTTACAACTATTTGTAAATAACTTATAAATCATTATTACAACTAAGTTACAAATTATTGCTTATTCCTTAACCAATTTTGTAGTTATTATTATTTTTAATTGTTTTGTATTTTCATCTTAAAAGATATAGGTTATTTACATACCATGATTGTAGTATTAGAGTATTTTCAATTTTTCAATTCACCTGCATACATACTTGTACCAGTGAATTTGATACCATCGGACGTTTTCATGTGTCTCATTAGAGTGCTTTTCTTTTAGTTTGAAATGCTGCCTAGCATTTCTTGTCAGGTAGGTCTGGATGGTGATAAACTCCTTCAGCTTTAGTTGCCTGGGAGAGTCTTTATTTATCCCTCATTTCTGAAAGATAGCTTTGTTGGGTACAGTATTTTCAGTTGAGATTTTTTTTTTTCTTCAGCACTTTAAATACATTATTCCACTCCTTCCTGGCCTGTGAGCTTTCTCCTGAGAAGTATACTGTTGGGCATATTGGAACTTTCTTACATGTTATTTTCTTCTATTCTCTTGCTGATTTCAGGATTCTTTGTCTTTGATTTTTAACAGTTTGATTCTAATACACCTTGGGGTAGTCTTATTTGAATTGCTTCTAATTGGTGACTTTTGACCTTTTTGTATCTGTATCTTTCCCCAGGTTTGAAAAGTTTTCTGCTATTATTTTTTAAAATAAGCTTTCTATCTCTTTGTGTTTCTTTACTCCCTCTTTAATTCTAGTGAACAAAACTTTGCCCTTTCAGTGTTGTCCTATACATTCTGTATGCTTTCTTCATTTTTTTCTTCTATGACTGTATATTTTCAATTAGAGTCTCTTCAAGCTCACTGATTTTTTTCTTCTTCTTGATCAATTCTGCTGTTGATACTTTCTATTGCAATTTTCACTTTATTTGTTGTATTCTTCAGCTCCAGAATTTTTGTTTATTTGGTTTTTGTTATTTTAAACTCTCAAATTTCTCTGATACATTTCTGAATTGTTTCTCTATATTTTATTAAAATTCACCAAGCTTCCTTAAGACAGCTATTTTGAACTGTCAGGCAGAACATACATCTCCATCTCTTTAGGGTCAGTTACTGGCATCTCATTTTGTCTGGTTGGAGATGTTATGTTTCTCTGATTGTAATCTTTGTGGCTACTTATTGATGTATGTGCATTGAATATGTAGGGTATTTTGGCTTCAGTCTTTGTAGTCTGGCTTTGTCTGTACCCATCTTTGGGGAGTAGGGCTATATAGAAATTCTGTGCTGACTGTTTTGGTCTCTTAATCTTCAACCACTACAGTCATTGCAGTGCAAGAGGGCATGCTAAACTGGGTTCTGCTACTCCTGGCACCAAGGTTTGAGAATTAGTTGCTGTCAGCCCCAACCCCATTTTTGGTTTCAAAATGACTCCTGATGAGCTAGCCCTGCCAGCACTTAAAATGCTTCCCTTGGAATAAGACCAGAGTGAGTCTTTGACAAAGGGTTCCAGAATGATGAAGAAGCTGAATGTCCAGGTCAACTTACTTTTTCTGTTGTAGAAACAGAAGTCCAGGGGACTTCTCCATGTGTGGTGCTGTGCAGACTCTGGGGATGAGCACTGCAGTAAAAGATAATTTTTCCCCTTACGGTCTAAATGTGCATTTTTCCTCAGTTCTACAATCCAAAGGGATATCACATTTTCACTCCAAGTTCTGGGATGTTCATGGTGGTAATCTTGCCTCTGGATAGCTACTAGTTGTTGAGAAGAAAAGATGGAGAACTCTTAATCTTCCATTTTGCTAAAGTCACTCCACAAAGGAGTCAATCTTGCTTCCAACTGCCAGGCAGGGAAGGAACTGGATGTTTGCCTTTTTCAGTTCCCATTACTTCTATTGCCACACGGTTTAATGAGTTTTTATTCATGGCTGCCCCCCTCATTGGTTAGGTGATGTAACATGCTTGAGATTAACAAGTTATGGCTGTGTTTAACTTACATGCCTAAGCTCAGCCATTATTTTTCAAGCATGTCAGTTATTCAAGAGTTGGCTGGGCCTGGGGAAGCTTCTAGCCTCAGTCACAATCTGGGCCATTACCAGCTTTTCTTCAAAAACCCAGATCAACATAAGAATCTTACTTCTGCCCTTATGAATTTAGTTTGGGGCCCTTATTTTCCTTTCTTCCAGTAACTCTCAATTAGGTTATTCCTAATGGTAACATTGAACTTCAAATGAGTCTCTTTTCTTCTCATTCAAGGAGGATTTTTTAAGTTTGTCCACTTCCTTTTCAGGAATGAGGATTATGTACCAAGGAATACTGAGACGGGGTGTTTCTTGAAAACCTAAGAGACCACATAAACTATATTTCAGGACAGCAAGTGCCTAATAGACTTACATTGTATTCATTTGTACAGAAAACATTTAAGAATGCTTACAATCTGCCAGGCACTGTTTTAGACTCCAAGGAAACAGCAGTAAATAAATCTGAACAATTCCCTGCAGTCATGGGGTTTACAATCTAGTGGAAAAGAATGATGAACAAACATCATGATATCTTATGGCTGGTGGTGGTAGATGTGAAAATAAAGCAATTGACTATAGAACGAGATGGGTTATTTTAAGTAGGGCTGTCACAGAAGTGACAATTTAACATTGAATAAAGTGAGGAAAGAGGCTATGTGGAATCTCAAGGAAGAAAATTATAGAAAAATAGCACATGGACAGCCCTGTAGTCAGAACATGCTTGGCAAACTCAAATAACAGCAATCAGGTCAGTGTGTTTGGAGAAGAGTGAGCAAGGGGATGTTACAGATGAGGTCAGAAAGATGGTTGGGGGCAAAAATTGTAGAGTCTTGGAGGTTATGGTAAGAGCTCTAAATTTAACTCTACATGAGATAAAGCCTTTGAAAGGTTTTGAGGAGAGAACAGACACAATCTGATTTATACTTTAGAAAAAACCCTGACCATTATAGGGTCTTCAAAAATAATTTGATAACATGTGGAGAATGAAATGTGGGGAATGGGTGGGGCATAGAAGAGAGGACACAGGGAGAATAGAAGTAATTGAGAAAATAAAGGACTGATAATTGACCTTTAGATTTCACATGATGGAGATTATTAGTGACCTTGAGGAGAACAGTTTTATTAGACTGGTGGAGACAACAGTTTCCTGCGCAGTCCATGTCCCACTGCTTCTTTCATCAACTGGCTTTGAGAATCTAGTGGAATTCATTCATTCAGCATGACATTGTTTTAACTGGGCAATTATTGTGTGTCAAGGACTGTGATTCTTACTAGATATACAATAGATTAATGAAGCATTGGTTTTTTCACTCATCACCAAATAGAAAACACAGATAAGCAAAATAATAAATTATAACCTGTATTAGTTTCTTCTTGTGTGGCTATAAAGAAATAGATACTTGGTGATTTATAAAGAAAAAGTGGTTTAATTGGTGCAGAGTTCTGCAGGCTGTAAAGAAATCCTGGTGCTGGCATCTGCTTGGCTTCTAATAAGGCCTCAGGGAGCTTACAATCATGCTGGAAGGTGAAGGGGAGCCAGCACATCACATGGCAGGGAGGGAGTTAGAGAGAGAGTGGGGGAGGTCCCAGACTATTTTAAACAACCAGATCTCTCATGAACTAACTAAGTGAGAACATATTCATCATCAAGGGGATGGCACTAAGATTTTCATGAGGGATCCACTCCAGATCCAATACCTTTCACTAGGCCCTGCCTCAAATACTGGGGATTACATCTGAACATGATATTTTGAGAAGACAAATATACAAACCATATCATAACCCAATATAGTCAACAGATTATTCTTTTGTTGGAATAAAACATATCCAATATGTGCTCAGTCACATTTCTTCATGAGTGTTTAAGCCATCTGGAAACTGTCAGAAGCCTAGGAAACACATCAAAACATGCTTTTTTTTTCTCCCTTAAGTTGCATATTTCTAAAAAGAAAACCTAAATCATTAAATGGTTTTACATGTAAAAGTCTCACATGATGCAAAGTGATTTTTTTTGTTAGTTTGTTTTACAATTATTGGCTATTGTCTCATCCCATTCACGTAAGATTTATATAGGGTGATGTGGTTGTTTCCATTTCGTGGAACAGAAGAGAAGGCGACGTAAAGGATGAAAATGAGAGATAACCGTGTGATAGAAAGGACCCTTATAAATCTAGGGCAGGGTCTTTATGTCATCAAACGACACAAGAGCCCCGTAAACCAAGGAAAAGGGCATATTTGAGTGACTACACCATAACCCATTCAAATAAACACCCTAACTGCATTTATCTGAATGTTTTATGTGCTCAAGAGAGAGTGTGTATATGTGCATGTGTTTGTGTATGTATGTGTGTGTGTGTTCGATGTGTATGTGTTTGTGTGGGCATATAATTTAATTAGTGAGGCTGTGTTTATTCAAGTATGTAGCATTGCACATATACATACAGCACACATGTGGCTAGAGATCTTTCATACCTTCATTCTTAAAAATGATGTAAGTAGAAAAATTATACAAACCATAAAAATCAAATCATACTAGCTGACATGCGTATAACTTCAGAGATGCTTAAAGGAAATTTACAGCTGAAATCACTGCTTTGGAACCTGAAACTATGGATTCAACTGAGTGGCTAGATGTAGTCCATTTAGAAGCACTTAGAATAGTCACAAACATGACTAAAGAGATTGGAAAATCAGATTTATATGAAAATGTTAAAGCAACAAGATTACATAACAAGGAAAAGAGCAAAATGAGTAGTTATTACTTTTTGAAATATACAAATTACTTTTTGAAATACACAAATCACTTTTTGTGAGATACACTAAAAGATGATAAACTACATTTTCTGACAACATAAGAAACACATATAGAAGTAGATACAGAAAATGTTGTCTTATTAAGGAGGTTGGTCAAATAGTGAACTACGTTACAGAAGTGGAGAGGGAGATCTTATTTCAGTTCATCAGATGTTTTTTAACATGTGAACAATCATGAAGATACTGAAATTTTTCTAGAAACTTACTCTTTTCTCAAAGCTCTAGTTTCCTCTCTTGGCCCTCTAGTGAAGCATGGTAAGCATAGGTTCTCACGACTGCTATGAGAGTAGGAAGTGAGGGCAGAGAATTAAAGAACTGACAACTCCAACTGTTGTCTAGTATCTTAAGTAACCGGAATTCTCACACACTGCTGGTAGGAGTAGAAAATGGTACAAATGCTTTGAAAAATGGTTTAAATTGCCATAAAATTAAGCATGCCTCTACCCTATAACCCGCCACTTCTACTCTTAGGCATTTTACCTATGAGAAACAAAATCATATGCCCACAAAAAAACTTGTGCAAGAATGTTTATAAAACCTTTATTCAAGGAGAATAAGAACTGGCAACAACCCAAATGCCTACCAATAGGTGAATAAATAAACTAATTGTGATAAATTCATAGAGTAGAATATTACTCAGCAGTAAAAAAAAACAAACTATGGGTATATACAACAATATGGATGAATCTCAAAAGCATTTTTAAGTGAAAGAAACCAGAAACAAAATAGTAGATACTGTATAATTCCATTTATATTAAATACAAGAATAGGTAAACTTAATCTATGGTGATGGAAATCAGAATAGTGAGTGCCTATTAGCGGTGGGAGTTGATGGGCCAGGAACAAAAGAAAACTTTTAGGATGATTAAGGTTATGTACACAGGAGTGCATTTGTTAAACCTCATCAAAATGTGCACCTAAAATTTGTGCATTTTAGTTTGTGTAGATTTTACTTTAATTAACATAATGAAATCTTCAAAACCCTCCAATAGCTTATCATTTAGCTTGAAATTAAATTTTTTTTACATGTCTTCTAAGAGCCAGTGTGATCTAAGTTTTCACTTTCTCTTAGACCTTGTCGCCTATCAGTCTTCCCCTTACATGCTCCTTTCCAACTTCACAAGTCTCTTTCCTGATTCCTTGTCGGTATCTTCCTAACTTAAGACCTTATGCTGCTCTTCCTTCTGCTAGGAAACTTCCTCCTCTGTGGATCAGTATAATCAGCTTCCTCACTTACTTCAGATCTTTTTTCAAATGTCAACTCATTAGAGTGTTCCTGAAACATCCTTTCTAAAATATCAACAACTGTCCCCAACACACACACACACATTTCATCACTCTTTATCTTTTCTTCCTTTCAAAGCACATGTCAATCCCAGACATTAAAATACAATATATATTGATATTATATATTTATATATTACATATTTTATTGTCTTTCTTTCTCCCTAGAATGAGGAAATCTGCAACCATAACCTTTGTTATTCACTGATGTATCCCCTAGTGCCTAGAAAAATGTCTGTACATAGATATTCAACAAATATGTGTTTAATGACTGAATAGTTAAGTGAAGCTTAGATAACCAAAGTAATAGTATAGAGGAGATGCAGACATCTGATGGGAAAACAAACTAAATGTTCCGCCTATCTATTGTTGCATAATAAACCTTCCCAAAACTAATAGCTAAAAACAAACAAAAAAATTGTTCACAAATCTGCAATTTGGGTAGGGCACAACAGGAACTTCCAGTCTCTGTTCTACGCAGTGTCAGCTCTGGGGTGGCCTGCCTGGGGCATAAGGATGCACTTTCAAGATGATTCATTCATATGCCAGAGTTAGCTGAGCTGGGGGCCTCAGTTTTTCCTTACAGGGGTTTCTCTGCGACTGGCTTCCTCATGGCATTGTGGCTGGGATCCAAGAACAGGTATCCCAGCAGATAGGAAGTTGAAGCACCACTTCTACATTATCATATCATGTAGGTAGTTACAGAACCCAATTCAGTGGAAGGGAATGTAAACTCAACCACCTAATGAGATGAAAGCCAAATAATTTTAGGGTCATTTTTTACAGTCACCACACAAAATTACCTTTTAGCTATGTTTTACTGCCCTGGGATTTATAATTCTGCAATTTGCTTTATTGCAGAAGTTTTCAAAAGTCATGTGAGAGGAATTCACCTAATATTAAACTAAAACAATGATATAATCATCATTATCTAATAATACTAATATTAAAATTCTGATTGTGTATGAGGTACTATATCAATATGTTCCATATATGATATCACTCTTTTTTCTTTTTCTTTTCTTTTTATTTTTGAGACAGAGTCTCACTCTGTCGCCCAGGCTGGAGTGCAGTGGCTCAATCTCAGTTCACTGCAACCCCAGCCTCCTGGGTTCAAGCGATTCTCCCACCTCAACCTTCAGAGTACCTGGGATTACAGGCGTGCGCCACCACACCTGACTAATTTTTGTAGTTTTACTAGAGATTGGGCTTCACTATGTTGGCCAGGCTGATCTCTAACTCCTGACCTCAAGTGATCCACCTGCCTTGGCCTCCCAAAGCACCAGGATTACAGGTGTGAGCCACTGTGCATGGCCTCTTTTTTTTCAGAATTTAACATTTATATGGCACTTACTTTATACCAGGCACTGTTCTTGGTACATTAAGGATATAACCTAATTTAATTTTTTAACAATCTCATAAATTACATGCTATTATTATTTCCACTCTATAAATTGGAAAACCTAGCATGAAGAGATTAAACACTTGCACAGTCACATAGCCTTTGAGGATGGAGTCAGGATTTGAACCTGTAGTCTGACCCTAGAGCCTGCACTTTTAACCACTGTGTTATGCTATCACTTTCTTATTACATCCAGTGATACTGTAAAGTAAGCACTATTGTAATCTCATTTGACAGAAGAAAAAGCTGAGGTTTAGAGCTGTTATGTGATCTATTCAAAGTCTGTCTACTTACATCCCAATACTGTGTTAGTATTTTCTTTCTTTCTTTCTTTCTTTTTTTTTTTTTTTTTTTTTGATACAAGGTCTCACTCTGTTTCCCAGGCTGGAGTGCAGTGGCACGAACTTGGCTCACTGCAACCTCCATCTCCTGGGCTCAAGCCGTCCTCCCACCTCAGCCTTCCAAATAGCTGGGACTATAGACACACACCACCACACCCAGCTAGTTTCTGTATTTTTAGTAAAGACAGGGTTTCGCCATATTGCCCAGGCTTGTCTCAAACTCCTGAGCTCAAGCAATCTGCGTGCCTTAGCCTCCCAAACTGCTGGAATTACAGGCATAAGCCACCATGCCCGGCCTGTGCCAGTATTTTATATATTGTTTCTAATCCTCACAGCAACATTGCAAGGTAGATGTGTGGAAACTGAGAATCAAATGTTAACGCATTCTACATCACATAGCTAGCAGGAATTGGAGCTGGGATTCAAGCTCAGATGTATGTGGCTGCAAAACTAGGCTTCTTTACCCTGTATTGCTCTCATCTTCAGGTGCAGGGAAATAAGGGAGGAATGGAGAAATTGATAACATTAATAGAAGAGAGGATCCCTTTCTACACTGTGACTCTGGTTAACCTCTGAGGGTGCTGAAGCAGATGTCCAGAGATGACAAGATATATACATATTATTAGGAAAGATTTCTGGATCTATTGTTAAATCATGAATACCAGCTCTATATTTTTCTGTCTTCCTTGGAGAAATCATTTTCCTTTTCTTTCTATGTCATGACCTGTTTTTCATTGCAGCCACCATCTTCAGCCCAGCTGATAGAGGAGGAAGGTGAAGTGATGAAAGTCAATATCTACCCAGGGACCTTTTGTGGTTTAGTCAATTAATTGTTGGCTATGGGGAGAAGGGGAGTGGAAGAAGAGTGAAGAGGAAAGGAAGAAATGAAAAAAAAAGAAATCACCTAATTTCCCATACCTGTCAGGGTTCTTCTCAGCTTTTCCTATGAAGATGTCCCCTGTGGCCCATTTAGAGCCATTTACCAAAACTTTTTTGAGATTTCTTTGATTTTAACATCTGCTTTCCTCTTTCTTCCCTGCATAGTCCTATGCTTCCGGGAGGCATGGCAGTTAGCCTTTGATCTTGGTGCCTCTTGTTAGCTGCATGCTGTAAGTTATCCCCCTCCTCAAGCTAATTCTTGGCAATGATGAAATCTACATCCTTCCTTCTTCACTCTCTTTATCACAGCTTCCTATCAAGTTTGACATGAGTCAGACCAGCTATCCCCACAGAGATTCACAGAACTCACTAATACTTTAATAGGAACAGGAGCTTCATCCCATACAGAGTCCCAAAGATATTATGTTAATCCTATAAACCAACCATTCTAAAAGTCATAGAGGTCCCCCAAAAATCAGGTTATCAGTAAAAAATAAGTGTAGTATAAATTTCAAGCATAATCAGGTTAGGTAGGACAATTTTCTGTGTAATTTGCATCATCACCATTACTGTCATTACTTGATGTACCTCAACTTCAAATTTGGTATGATACTGATCTAAGTGTAGGAAGAGCTGAAAAATATACTAAAAAGCTAATTTGGGGGAGGCTAACTTGTTATAATTTAGAAGACTAAATTATAGAAGCCTCTAAAAGAGCATAAATGTATTCTTTTTATTAATAAGGCTTATAAAATTATTATAATTACCCAATTTTATCTATTTTCTAGGGATATTTGCAAAATGAATAGACGATGATGATTTACAATAAACTTTTAAGTGTAAATTGAACATGTCTTCAAAATATTTTCTCCATTTTAATATTTTCAGGTGATATTTCCATCATGTAACATTCGTATTCAAACTGTTCTTTAATGATAGTGAGGACAAAGGTGAATGTTAGACCGTCTCCTGGTCAAGTAATCATACATTTTGAATAATGAAGATTTTATTGTACTACCTTTCCACCCTTTGGGAAAACCCAAGTAATATGTAAAACATTTCTTCTAGTCAGTAGGAATTACTTCCTATATTTTGAAATTACTCTTTATTATAAGATTCCCAAAGGGAATCAGTACCCATTTCTGTTAACTCTTAATATCCAAGTGAATTTTTAATTCTGTGCCTTTTCCACAGCTGACATCCATTCCAGTTACATTTTAGTCATGCATTCTACTCTACATCATGTTTCTGGTAGCTATTCTTTGCCTCACATCTGGTAGGGAAGCTTATGGAAATATCCAATGTTAATATCAGACTGAATTAAAAGCTAGTTATAGGCATCTTACTTTTGAATTATTTGATATTTAAGGGTTACTCATATCATAGCCCTTTCTAGATAATTAAGAGTAAACCTCATGAACCCATTGCTCCAGAAGAGGGCCATGGGAAGTAGAAAAAATCTGCTCCTATTTTTATAAGATTTATTAGTAACCAAACAAAGTGAAACACACACACACACACACACACACACACACAAATCTAGAATAAAAAAGGAGAGAAGAGATAGTGTGGTTTTGGCTGAAATACTCAAAGTATAAAATGACCATGAAACTGAGAAGGTTGGCTTTAGATCCCTGATTTTTAAGCTGTTCTGTGGCCTAAAAATCGAACAATGTTCCAAGAACTGAGTAGAATCTAGGAAATGGAAGGAAACTGAAGCAGGAAGAGTCAGGGAAGACATTCAAAGGAATAAGTACTGCTATGGTCTGAGTGTTTGTGTTCCTCTAAAATTCATATGCTGATATTCTAACCCCCAAGGCAATTGTATTAGGAGGCAGTGCATTTGGGAGTTATTAGGTCATAGGAGAAAAGCCCTCATGATTAAGATTAGTGCCCTTATAAAAGCAAGCTCAGAGAGCTGCCTTGCCCTTTTCACCATGTGAGGGCACAGCATGAAGGCAACATTTATGAACCAGAAAGCCAGACCTCAACAGACACAGAATCTGCTGGTGCCTTGATCTGGAGGACTTCCCAGCCTCCAGATCCATGAAAAATAAATTTCTGTTGTTTATAAGCTACCCAGCCTATGGAAATTTCTTATAGCAGCCAGAATGTACTAAGACAGTTCTTAATTGAATTTTGGAGGCAGGTGAAGAAGGACGAAGTTGGCAGAGAGAAGGAAGAATATCGTAGGCTGTGGTGATTAGAACTTGCTCAGAGTAGATTTCCTCCCCACTGGCATATGTTTTCAGAACTTCTTTGAAGGAAAGAAGTACACTTGTGGAACCTGGGCTAGGCTGTCCTCACCTAGCCCAGACAGAGGAACACCTTTGCTGACTCCATCACATGCTGCTGATGGTGAAGGGCGAAGGTCCTGGAATGCCTTTCTTTGAGCCTCATCCCTCTTCATGACTTCCCAGAGAGAACTGTCAGTGAGGAGTTCTGGGCCATGAAAAATGATCCTCTTCCCAGAGACTAGATTATTTCACTTAGAAAAAATCAAGCATCTTTTCTTCCTGAAAGCATTTGTCAATGGGACAGGACCTATTGCTCTCAAGGATGTCTCTGCCCCCTTTGGTGCCTGACCCCTGGAGATCTGAGATTCAACTGCTTGGCATTATTACAGACTCTGCTCTTCCCTACTACATATCTCCCCAGCAGTGTGTGGTCTCTTAGAGCTACAACCTACGCACACTATTCTCTGTAAGAGAGTAGCTCTCTGAGACAAATATTTTTCAACTTCTCCTGCCTGCCTCCAATGAATGAATAAACCTAGCAGCTGGTGTTTACACAGCACTTACCTTCGAGAGACCACAGAGCAATTTTCAGTGGCAGACTCTAATCCTTCCCCAGCTTCTGGGTAGCAATAAGTATTAATATTGTTCCCCTGAATATGGAAGATTGAGTCAAGGAACTTGCAACGGCTTGCTGAATAACACCTGTCATTTGATGGTTCACTCATTCACTCCATAGTTTTTTCCAATTATGCCCTTATTATTGTACAATAAGGTATTTTCACATATATTAACTCTTTTTTTACCAAATTTGCTTGATAATAAGAATAACCTGGAGCTCTTGTTAAACAAACAACTTCTATGATCCCTGTCCTGCACATTTTTCATTCAGTGGGTCTGAGATGGGACCTAGGAATTTATGTGTTTAACAAGCATGCCAGGGGATTTCCCCCCCTTTTGTGTGAAGTATAACATTCTCTGTGATTACTATCATTAGGAAAATTTTGGAAACTCAATTTATTTCATTTAATTTTTACAGTAACCCTGTGGGGTATTCTTATGCACCTTTATTTAGAAATAAATATGTGATCAGCATATCAATATGGGAGGCCCAGATATGAAATCTCAGTTAATTCAATTCTAACTCTCAAAGACAAGAGATGGCAGCTGATTAATTTCTTACATTTCCAAGGTTTTCTCAACCACACTTTCTCGTTTAAACAATTAAAGCTAAAGTTATTCATCTGAGGTTTGAACCATATACATGATTTCTGGCTAGATCCATGCCATAAATTAGTGCCAAAAGAGCCACAGAAACTATGAAACCATAGACATAGTTCAAAGTAAACTCTTTCCCTTTTCCGAAAACTTGATATCTTTTCTGCAAGCTTAAGCTCATCTTCTTAGCTCCCCCTTGGACTTTGCCTTATTTTTACCCAATTCATTCCATTATTGTTATTGTTGTTTTCTTCTCTCTCACTTTCTCACTGTCTCTCTCTCAATTTCTCACTGTCTCTCTCTCTCTGCCCCTTCTCTATCTCCCTCCTCTCTACCTGATATGGTTTTGCTCTATGTTCCCACCCAAATCTCACCGTGAATTGTAATAATCCTCACATGTCAGGAATGTGACCAGGTGGAGATAACTGAATCATGGAGGCGGTTTCCCCCATAATGCTCTCATGATAGTGAGTGAGTTCTCAGGAGGTCTGATGGTTTTATAAGGGGCTTCTCCCCACTTTGCTTGGCACTTCTCCTTTCTGCCACCATGTGATGAAAGATGTGTTTGCTTCCCCTTCTGCCATGATTGTAAGTTTTCTAAGGCCTCCCCAGCCATGTGGAACTGTGAGTCAATTAAACCTCTTTCCTTTAAATTATCCAGTCTCGGGCAGTTGTTTATAGCGGTGTGAGAACACTATGCTTAACCCCCATCTCCCTCCCTCCTTCCCTCTTTCTCTTTCTCTCTAACTGCTTTTTTTTCTTGCTGAGATACTTCCAAGCCTAGCCTGTTTTTTTTCCCTCACAATTGCTTTGTGACCACTGATAGGGCTGCATGATTCCGATGCATAACCCTAAAATTCTATTTCTGAGGAGTCTGGAAGAATTTCTGTCAACCATAAGAGGGAGCATCAGCCTGCACATGATCCTAGGAAGGCCAGAAAGTCAGGAGCTCCTGTCTTCTGCAGTTTCCATGGCTCTTCTCACTTGCAAACTATCAGGCTAGGGAGTAGACCCACAAGCAACATTTTAAATCTGAATGAAAACTGAAACAATTCAACTGTTCAGAGGGTCCATAATAATCTAATTCCTGGTGTTACATAAATCCAGTAGTGTGCCGGTTATCTGGAAAAGAGTACGAAAGAAAGAAGAAAGGAGAAGGAAGGGAGATAGAAAGAGGAAGAGAGAGAATGAAAGCCAGATTTATTTATGTAGCATGTACATGTTCAGTAGAGTAAATATGCTTAAGATGGCCAATTTCAAGCTACCAAAGATTTAACGACCAGCTTAAAAGATTCTTTAATATTAGCAACCAGCTTTTATAAGCTGGTGTGAGCCAGCTCCAGCATGCCACTGTGTAAATCCAATCCCAGAAAAAATTAATTCACTTTCCCCAGATCTTCTAATGCTTTCTAGTAGGTGCTTTATATACTGGTACATAAAGGATTGATTATTATACCCCAGAGATGTTCTCTGCTATCCTATCACCATGCCTTTCCTCATAATGATCTATTTTCTAGAAATGCCCTTTTCCCTCATCTCTTAAAGACCTATATCAAATGTTTCTTGGGTCTTCATAGTTATTGGCCTATAGCCCTCTTAAAACATTTATGATGTTTAATCTTGTGTTAGAGCGACTTTTATACTTTTATCCCAATATTTACTGGATAAAAGCAGTATGTCTGTATTACCCTTGTATTCGTGCAGCACTGAGTTCAATGCTTGGAGAAGAGTAGGCATTCAAAGCCATTTTACCAACCACCTATTATATGCTTTCAATATAGCAGGTATTAATCTAGACCCTAGAACCCCGATCTGATTTAAGGAACGAGAAACCTTAAAATAGGGATCTGTGGAGAAATCCTAGTTTCAGATGTTAGTGGAAGTTAACTATTAACCCAAGATATTTGGAACAAGTTGATGACTACATTAAGCAGATAGCTTCCACCCAGACCCATTGGAATAATTAGTCTATTAATGGTTAGCAACATTTTTCTATAAAGAAACAGGTAATAAATATTTTAGGCTTTCAGTCCTTTAAGTCTCTACCAAAACTATTCAACTCTTGCAATGTAGTGCAAAAGCAGCCATAAACTATACATAAACAAAATGAGCATGGCTGTATACCAATAAAACTTTATTTATAAACGCAGTTAATAAGCCAGATTTGTCCTACAAGCTGTAATTTGCCAACCGTTGGCCCAGATACTTTAAAGTACTGATTTCTAAACTCTCATGTAAATGGTTTCGTCTGTTTTCCTTTTAGTCATAATGTTTCTCTTTGCTATTTTAACTTATATGCTTCTACCTTAGTCCATAATGCCTTCTTATGAATAATTCTTGCTTAAGTCTAGGCTTATTAAATACAATTACCACTCTATAGTTTAGCTCATCCAGGTTATTGCTAATGCAGCCATTCTGAAAAACAGTATAAAGATATGTTACACCGACCTTGCCAATAATAATACTCCTTATAGACAATATATAAATGAAATTAAATGCCCATGTAATGCAAGGTGATACAGGTACTACTGGGATGCAACAATGACTGTCATGATGACACCTAGAGATAATATATTTACAGTTCTATTAAGATTGCATATATCTCTTTTGAAGTATCTGAGTTCTTTTTCCTATGAGGAAATGAGCACCTTCAGTGCCAACTCAGGACCAAGACTGCTTGTTCTGTAGTGCTAATAGCTAGACTATTTCTAGTTTATGATTCACTGGTACCCTCAATGTACAGTTTCTTAACAAAGCATCTGTATGGATACAACCTTTCCTATGAAAATGAATAGTAATTGGTGAAACAAAGCCTAAGGGTAATGATCCCATTCATAGAAGCTGGAAAACTTGAAAAGGTCATCAAAAGTGAATTCTCTACTATGGCTCTTGTCCTGGATACACAACTGACCTTTTAAAATTCCTTCAGCTAAGTAATTATGAAAAATAAACTAGCCTTAGATTTTCTCCTGGCCAATTAGAGGAAATCAGTACTATTTCATAATTTATGTTGAACCTGAATTAACAGCTTGGTTTAAATGGAGCAATTCATATCAAAACTAAAATAAAAGACAATCTATCCATCTATGGAAGACTCAAGGAGTCAGTGGAATTTGTTTTTTGGTCAATTCTCAGAAATCTTGGTTTATTATTTGAGAGTGTCTATCAGTTTCTTTTAATAATATTCTTTTTATATTTGTCATGAAATTGTTCAACATTTATTTTCCAAAGTCTTAAATGTTGTCATGTAGCCATCATCCCAAACAATGACTGACCAAATAACAAAAACAATGAAGAGGATGAAGCCATGCTGATTAACAGTTGAGTGAAATTTAGACATGTGCAAACAAAACCACATCTGCAAGGAGAATCAACAACTAGGATGAAAATATGGGTAGTCCTTGATGTCTTCCCTCAAACTTTAGTTGAGGAAATATGTAAAAGGGTGATTGAAAAAAATTTTTAACTTCCCACACTCCTACAAGAAGACTAATTGTTCTAAAGCCAGGGTAACAAATAGTGACCAGAATAAGTTTTAAACCTACTTAATCAATGAGTAAGAGTTCCACAGCCATAAACCATCTGAATTTGTTTTAAACATATTTAAAATGTTTAACCAAATCAAATTAAAATGTTTCCTTAAATCAAATACAACTTGTTTAATGAACATGTTTCTGTAAGTCAATCAATTAATGACAACCCCTTGCTTTTGAAGGTCAGCCAGTCAGAAATGGACTCATTTCAAAAACATACTTCCAAATGCCACATAATCAAGAAAAGTCTTCTTCAAATAACCACATTTCTACAGTTGACAACAAACTAGTCACCACTCTTTTGAACTCTATGCTTTTTACAAATCCTTATACAAGATAAACTGTTTTCCTGCCTGGAAAAACTGTGACCAAACAGCCTAGATATCCTTCACTTAGCCAAGCAATAAATTCAGCATGTTTTGTTTATTTGTCTCATCATTTTGAGTGATAGCTTCATTCTTTGAGAAGATGGAGAAATGGAACAAGACAGAAAGGGTATTCCAGGTACTAGAAATAGCATGGGCAAAGACGTGGAGGCACGAAAGTATTTGGTGAGTTCAGGAATGTAGAACCCTTGTAGTAGCTTCTTGGAGTTGGAAATGTCAGTTGAAGACAGACTTTGAACTTCACAGGCCAATATAAGAAGTTTATATTTTATCTGCTGAGCTTTGAAGGCACAATGAATATTTTAAAAGGCAAATATTATAAATAAATATAAGTTTTAGGAGCTAAAAATGCAGTGTTAGGATTAGTGGTTGAAGTGTCTGTGACATATTCAATAATTATATAATTATGGTAATCTACCTCTATAATAATTAAAGAAGTAGATCCTACTGAATTTATGATCTACTAAATGAGAGAGATAAAAAATTAGAATAAAAGGTGAGAGAGGGAGTGGCCAAGATGGCCAACTAGAAGGAGCTAGTGTTCATGACTCTCATGGAGAAGAATGGAAGAGAAAAGTAAGCACAACACCTTCAACTGAAATATCCAGGTACTCACTTTGGGACTAATCAAGGAAACAACTTGGCCCACAGAGAATGAAGAAAAGCAAGACAGGACAATAGCCCACTGGGGAGCAATACAGAGCCAGAGGAACCTCCCCAGACCAGGGAAGCAGTGAGTGAAGGTGCAACCCTGGAAAACCATGCTTCTCCCATGGATCTTTGAAATGCTTGGGTCAAGAGATGCCCTTGCAAACTTACTCCACCAGGCCTTCAGTCTGACAGAGCTATGTGGAAACTCAGCAGAGCGGCCACTCAGGCATTCTTGGAGACCCTGGAGACTTAAATACTCGGGCTTTCCAGCAAAAAAGCTGCATCTCCGGCCACATGGAAGATTAGACTCCTGTACATACCCCTAGGAAAGAGGTTGAATCCAGAGGGCTGAGCAGCGACAGCCTGCAAGCCTCACTGCCATTGCACATCACAAGATAAGACCCACTGGCTTGGAATTCCAGGCAGCAAATGATAGGGGCATTGCATCTCCCAGGGGGAGAAGTGGGTCACCATCTTTGCTGTTTGGATGCCTTAGCTGTTCCAGCCTATAGGCTTTAGAGGGTCCAAGTCAACAAAGAGTGGAAGGGATGCTCCAGTAAAACATAGCTGCTCTACCAAAATGTGGCCAGACTGCTGCTTTAAGCAAGTGCCCAATCTGTTCCTCCTCACTGGGCTGAACCTCCCAACTGGAGCCTCCAGACAACTCTGCCCATGTTCTCCAGCCAACAGAGAGTTGAATTCTTCCTGGGACAGCACTCCCAGAGGGAGGGGTGGTCTACCATCTTTGCTGTTTGGGCTCTGTAGCCTTTCCAGCCTCCAGGCTTCAGAGTACCTGAGGTGACTGGAGACTGAAGTGGACCCTCAGCTCAGCATAGCTACTTTACCAAAATATGGCCCAATTGTTTTGTTAAGAGAGTCTTCTGTCCCTTTCCTCCTCACTGGATGGGACCTCCCAGCTGGGGTCTCCAGCCACCTCCTACAGGTGCCTTTGGGATGACAACAGGCCCATACTTCCCTGGGATGAAGCTCCCAGAGGAAGGGACAGGTTGATATCTTTACAGTTTCACAGCTTTCACTGGTGATACCTCCAGGTACTAGAAAATTTAAGGTGACTAGGTACTGGAGCAGGCTCCAAGTGTACGACAGCAGCCCTACAGAAAACTGGCCAGACTGTTACATGGATGCCCTTTCCCATATCTCCTTACTGGGCAGGCCTGGGCCTCCAGCCACCACCTGCCAGAGCTATTGAGCCAGTAGCAACTTAGCAACTCCTTGGATGGAGCCTCCAGGGGCAACTGAAAACCTCTCTGCCACTGCCTCTGCAGTGGAACTGCCACCTCAGACTAATGAAGGAGCAAAGACCCTACGTGCCTTATCCACACCTCCAACAAGTGGCAGTCAACCTAATCAGAGGAGGCCAGTCCACCTCCCGCTGGTCCCACACCCCCATCACTTCTCATCACCAGAGAGGGCCCCTGGCTTGGGCCCACAGCACAGACCTTTCATCCTGTGCTGATTCTGCTGAGCAATTGCTGACCTGCATCTCTCTGGGATGGAGCCTCCCAGGAGACAATCAAATGACCCTTGACCAAAACCACTACTAAGATCCCTTCCTCTGCTGCCTCCAAGTTGGGGAAGGAACATAAACAATAAGATTGCCCCAGAGCTGCAGCAGGCAGCTCAGGAGTGCCAAGTCACAATCTACAGCCAGCATTCAAGGGGAAGAGGAACCCATGCTTTCAGAGCATTGAGAGGAAACATGGCTGCAACTGTGAGGAAACAGGGAAGCCACACAACAAGCAAGAGTTTACCAACTGACTAATAAGCCTACGTGCCACCTGCTGGATCATACTGTAAAGGTTTATCACCAAAAACACCTCACTAACATACCTCTGCCGAAACCAGAGACAAGAAGGTAGCTTCAAATAAAGACCCTGCACAAAGCCTAGGCCTGGCAAAAAACATCCAGAAAAGAAGTCTATTGACTACCCAATCTACACTGCAGCTAAAACAACAGCCACATGTAGAGATAAGAAAGAATCAATGCAAAAACACAAAGAAATCCCTGTTTGAGGGTCTGGAGTGAATCTCCAGGAAACTCCAACAGATCTGCAGCTGAGGAACCTGACTGTTAGAAGGAAAACTAACAAACAGTAAGGAATAGCATCAACATCAGCAAAAAGGATATCCACACCAAAACCCCATCTGTAGGTCACCAACATCAAACACCAAAGGTAGATAAAACTACAAAGATGGGGAGAAACCACAGCAGAAAAGCAGAAAATTGCAAAAACCAGAACGCCTCTTCTCCTCCAAAGGATCAAAGCTCATCACCAGCAACGGAAAAAAACTGGATGGAGAATAACTTTGACAAGTTGACAGAAGTAGGCTTCAGAAGGTTGGTAATAACAAACTTCTCTGAGCTAAAGTGGCATGTTCTAACCTGTATCAAGGCAGCTAAAAACCTTGAAAAAAAGGTCAGATGAATGGCTAACTAGAAAAAACAGAGTAGAGAAAACCTTAAATGACCTGATGGAGCTGAAAACCATTGCACAAAAACTTCGTGACGCATGCACAAGATTCAATAGCCAATTCAATCAAGTGGAAGAAAGGATATCAGTGATTGAAAATCAAATTAATGAAATAAAGTTAGAAGACAAGATTAGAGAAAAAAGAGTGAAAAGAAATGAACAAAGCCTCCAAGAAATATGAGACTATGTGAAAAGACCAAATATACATTTGATTGGTGTACCGGAAAGTGACAGGGAGAATGGAACCAAGTTGGAAAACATTCTTCAAGATATTATCCAGGAGAATTTCCCTAACCCAGCAAGGCAGGCCAACATTCAAATTCAGGAAAAACAGAGAACACCACAAAGATACTCCTCAAGAAGAGCAACCCCAAGACACACAATTGTCAGATTCACAAAGGTTGAAATGAAGGAAAAAATGTTAAGGGCAGCCAGAAAGAAAGGTTGGGTAACCCACAAAGGGAGGCATATCAGACTAACAGCAGATCTCTTGGCAGAAACCCTACAAGCCAGAAGAGAGTGGGGGCCAATATTCAACATTTTTAAAGAAAAGAATTTTCAACCCAGAATTTCATATCCAGCCAAACTAAGCTACATAAGTGAAGGAGAAATAAAATCCTTTACAGACAGGCAAGTGCTGAGAGATCTTGTCACTACAAGGTGTGCCTTACAAGAGCTCCTGAAGGAAGCACTAACCATGGAAAGGAAAACTGGTACCAGCCACTACAAAAACATGCCAAATGGTAAAGACCATTGATGCTATGAAGAAACTGCATCAATTAACAGGCAAAATAACCAGCAAATATCATAATGACAGATCAAATTCAAATGTAAAAATACTAACCTTAAATGTAAATGGGCTAAATGCCCAAATTAAAAGACACAGACTGGCAAATTGGATAGAGTCAAGACCCATCAGTGTGCTGTATTCAGGAGACCCATTTCACATGCAAAGATGCACATAGGCTCAAAACACAGGGATGGAGGAAGATCTACTAAGCAAATGGAAAGCAGGAAAAAGCAGGGGTTGCAATCCTGGTCTCTGATAACAGACTTTAAACCAACAAAGATAAAAAGAGACAAAGAAGGCCACTACATAATGGTAAAGGGATCAATTCAACAAGAAGAGCGAACAATCCTAAATATATATGTACCAAATAGAAGAGCACCCAAATTCATAAAGCAAGTCCATAGAGACCTACAAAGAGACTTAGAATCGCACATATTAATAATGGGAGATTTTAATACACCATTGTCAATATTAGGCAGGTCAATGAGACAGAAGGTTAACAAGGATATCCAGGACTTGAACTCAGCTCTGCACCAAGCGGATGTAATAGACATCTGCAGAACTCTCCACCCCAAATCAACAGAATATACATTCTTCTCAGCACCACACCTCACTTATTCTAAAATTGGCCAAATAATTGGAAGTACAGCACTCCTCAGCAAATGTAAAAGAACAGAAATCACAACAAACTCTCTCTCAGACCACAGTGCAATCAAATTAGAACTCAGAATTAAGAAACTCACTCAAAATCCCACAACTACATGGAAACTGAACAACTTATGCCTGAATGACTACTTGGTAAATAACAAAATGAAGGCAGAAATAAAGATGTTCTTTGAGACCAATGAGAACAAAGACACAACATACCAGAATCTCTGGGACACATTTAAAGCAGTGTGTAGAGGGAAATTTACAGCACTAAATGCCCATAAGAGAAGCAGGAAAGATCTAAAATTGACACCCTAATATCACAATTAAAAGAACTAGAGAAGCAAGAGCAAACAAATTCAAAAGCTAGCAGAAGGCAAGAAGTAACTAAGATCAGAGCAGAACCGAAGGAGATAGAACACAAAAAACCCTTCAAAAAATCAATGAATTCAGAAACTGGTTTTTTGAAAAGACCAACAAAATACATAGACTGTTAGCAAGACTAATAAGAAAAAGAGAGAAGAATCAAATAGATGCAATAAAAATATGATAAAGGGGATATCACCATCAATCCCACAGAAATACAAACTACCATCAGAGAAAACTATAAACACATCTATGTGAATAAACTAGAAAATCTAGAAGAAATGGATAAATTCCTGGACACATACACCCTCCCAAGACTAAACCAGGAAGAAGTTGAATCTCTGAATAGACCAATAACAAGCTCTGAAATTGAGGCAATAATTAATAGTCTACAAACCAAAAAAAAAATTCCAGGACCAGATGGATTCACAGCCAAATTCTACCAAAGGTAGAAGTGGGAGCTGGTACCATTCCTTCTGAAACTATTCCAATCAATATAAAAAGAGAGAATCCTCCCTAACTCATTTTATGAGGCCAGCATCATCCTGATACCAAAGCCTGGCAGAGACACAACAAAAAAGGAGAATCTTAGACCAATATCCTTGATGAACATCAATGCAAAAATCCTCAATAAAATACTGGCAAACCGAATCCAGCAGCACATCAAAAAGCTTATCTACCATGATCAAGTTGGCTTCATCCCTAAGATGCAAGGCTGGTTCAACATGTGAAATCAATAAATGTAATCCATCACATTAAACAGAACCAATGACAAAAACCACATGATTATCTCAATAGATGCAGAAAAGACCTTTGACAAAAATTCAACAACCCTTCATGATAAAAACTCAATAAATTACGTATTGATGGAACATATCTCAAAATAATAAGAGCTATTTATGACAAACCCACAGCCAATATCATACTGAATGGGCAAAAACTGGAAGCATTCCCTTTGAAAACCAGCACAAGACAAGGATGTCCACTGTCACCACTCCTATTCAAAATAGTGTTGGAAGTTCTGGCCAGGGCAATCAGGCAAGAGAAACAAATAATTGTATTCCATTAGGAAAAGAGGAAGTCAAATTGTCCCTGTTTGCAGTAGACATGATTATATATTTAGAAAACCCCATTGTCTCCGCCCAAAATCTCCTTAAGCTGATAAGCAACTTCAGCAAAGTCTCAGGATACAAAATCAATGTACAAAAATCACAAGCATTCCTAAACACCAATAACAGACAAACACAGAGCCACAGTGGGAATAAAATATTTAGGAATCCAACTTACAAGGGATGTGAAGGACGTCTTCAAGGAGAACTACAAACCACTGCTCAATGAGATAAAAGACGACACAAACAAATGGAAGGACATTCCATGCTCATCAATAAGAAGAATCAATATTGTGAAAATGGCCATACTGCCCAAAGTAATTTATAGATTCAATGCTAACATTGACTTTCTTCACAGAATTGGAAAAAATGACTTTAAAGTTCACATGGAACCAAAAAAGAGCCCACATAGCCAAGACAATCCTAAGCAAAAATAACAAAGCTGGAGGCACCACGCTACCTGACTTCAAACTATGCTGCAAGGCTACAGTAACCAAAACAGCATGGTACTGGTACCAAAACAGATATATAGACCAATGGAACAGAACAGAGGCCTCAGAAATAACACCACACATATACAACCATATGACCTTTCACAACCCTGACAAAAACAAGAAATGGGGAAAGGATTCCCTATTTAATAAATGGTGCTGGGAAAACTGGCTAGCCATATGTAGAAAGCTGAAACTGGACCCCTTGCTTACATTGTACACAAAAATTAACTCAAGATGGATTAAAGACTTAAATGTAAGACCGAACACCATAAAAACCCTAGAAGAAAACCTAGGCAATACCACTCAGGACATAGGCATGGGCAAAGCCATCATGACTAAAACACCAAAAGCAATGGCAATAAAAGCCAAAATTGACAAATGGGATCTAATTAAACTTAAGAGCTTCTGCACAGCAAAAGAAACTATCATGAGAGTGAACAGGCAACCTACAGAATAGGAGAAAATTTTTGCAATCTACCCATCTTACAAAGGGCTAATATCCAGAATCTACAAAGAACTCAAACAAATTTACAGGAAGAAAACAATTAACCCCATCAAAAAGTGGGCAAAGGCTATGACCAGACACTTCTCAAAAGAAGACATTTATGCAGCCAACAGACATATGCAAAAATGCGCATCATCACTGGTCATCAGAGAAATACAAATCAAACCACAGTGAGATACCATCTCATGCCAGTTAGAATGGCGATCATTAAAAAGTCAGGAAACAACAGATTCTGGAGAGGTTGTGGAGAAATAGGACCACTTTTACACTGTTAGTGGGAGTGTAAATTAGTTCAACCATTGTGGAAGACAGTGTGGGGATTCCTCAAGGATCTAGAACTAGAAATACCATTTGACATAGCAATCCCATTACTGGGCATATACCCAAAGCTTTATAAATCATTCTACGATAAAGACACATGTAAATGTATGTTTATTGTGGCACTAGTCACAATAGCAAAGGCTTGGAACCAACCCAAATGTCCATCAATGATAGACTGGATTAAGAAAATGTGGCATATATACACTATGGAATAGTATGCAGCCATAAAAAAGGATGAGTTCATGTCCTTTGCATGGACATGGATGAAGCTGGAAACCATCATTGTAAGCAAACTATCATAAGGACAGAAAACCAAACACTGCATGTTCTTACTCATAGGTGGGATTTGAACAATGAGAACACATGGACACAGGGTAAGGAACATCACACACCGGGGCTGTTTGCGGGGTGGGGACCTCGGGGAGGGATAGCATTAGGAGAAATACCTAGTGTAAATGATGAGTTGATGGTTGCAGCAAACCAATATGGCACATGTATAGCTATGTAACAAACCTGCACATTGTGCACATGTACCCTAGAACTTAAAGTATAATTTTAAAAAAAGACTTCAGTATCTCAAATGGCCACAGTGTCATATATCCTCCAAACAACCACACCAGTTTTTCACCAAGAATTCTTAACCAGACTGAACTAGCTAGAATGACACAAATATAATTCAGAATATAAATAGGAACAAAGATCATTGAGATTTAGGAGGATGACAAAATCCAAATTAAGAAAAATAAGTATCACAATAAACTGAAACAGGAGCTGAAGGATGAAATAGCTGGTATAAAAAAGAACCTAATGGGGCGGACAGAGCTGAAAAACAGAATACAAGAATTTTACAATGCAATCACAAGTATTAACAGCAGAATAAACCAAGCTGAGGAAAAAAATCTCAGAACTTGAAGACTGGTTCTCTGAAATAAGATAGTCAGAGAAAAATAAAGCAAAAAGAATAAAAAGGAATGAACAAAACCTCTAAGAAGTATGAGATTATGTAAAGAGGCCAAATCTATAAATCCCTGGCATCCCTGAAAGGGAGGGACAGAAAGAAAATAACTTGGGAAACATATTTCAGGTTGTCATCCATGGAAACTTCCCTAAACTTGCTAGAAAAGCCAACAGTCAAATTCAGAAAACACAGAAAACTCCTGCAGGATTCTGTGCAAGATCATCCCTAAGACACACAATCATCATATTTTCCAAGGTCAGAATGAAAGAAAGAATGTTAAATGCAGCTAGAGAGAAAGGGCTTGTTGCCTACAAAGAGAACAACATCAGACCACTCAGATAAAACTCTGCAAGCTAGAAGAGATTCAGAGCCTATATTCAACATTCTTAAAGAAAAAAATCTTCAACCATGAATTTTATATCCAGCCAAACTAAGCATCCTAAGTAAAGGAGAAATAAGATCCTTTTTAGATAAGCAAATGTTGAGGGAATTCACTACCACCAGATCTGCCTTAGAACAAATCTTGAAATAAGCACTAAATATAGAAAGGAAAGACTGCTACCAGTGAATACAAAAACACACTTAAACACAGAGACCAGACCAATGTCACTGTAAAGCAACCACACAAACAAGCCAACAAAATAACCAGCTAACAAGCACTATGACAGGATCATCAAATCCACACAAATTCACTTGTACTAACCTTGAATGTAAATGGGCTAAATGCCCCCACTTAAAAGGCACAGAGTGGCAAGCTGGATTAAAAAAAGCAAGACCCAGTGGTATGCTGTCTTCAAGAAACCCATCTCACATGTAATGACACTCATAGGCTCAAAATAAAGGGATGGAGGAAAATCTACCAAGCTAATGTAAAACAGAAAAAAAAGCAGGAGCTGCAATCCAAATTTCAGACAAAATAGATTACAAACCAACAAAGATAAAAAAAGACAAAGAAGGGCATTACATAATGGTAAAGAATTCAATTCAACAAGAATACCATGTGGTGGCTCACGCCTGTAATCCCAGCACTTTGGGAGGTTGAGGCAGGTGGATCATGAGTTCAGGAGATCGAGACCCTCCTGGCTAACATGGTGAAACCCCATCTCTACTACAAATACAAAAAATTAGCCGGGTGTGGTGGCTGGCGCCTGTAGTCCCAGCTACTCGGGAGGCTGAGGTGGGAGAATGGCATGAACCTGGGAGGCGGAGCTTCCTGGGTGACAGAGCGAGACTCCGTCTCCAAAAAAAAAAAGAATACCTAACTATCCTAAATATATATGCGCCCAACACAGGAGCACCCAGGTTCATAAAGCCAGTTCTTAGAGACCTACAAAGAGACATAGACTCTCACACAATAATAGTGGGAGATGTCAACACTTCACTGACAGTATTAAATCATCAAGGCAGAAAATAAACAAAGATATTTAGAGCCTAAACTCAACATTGGACCAAATGGGTCTAATAGACCTTTACAGAACTCTCCACCCAAAAAAAACAAAATATGCATTCTTCTCATCACCACATGGCACATACTCTAAAATCAATCACATATTTGAACATAAAACAATTCTCAAAAAATATAAAAGAATCCAAATCATACCAAACACACTCTCAGACCACAGTTTAATAAAAATAGAAGTCAAGACTATGAAAATAACTCAATGTCATGCATTTACATGGAAATTAAATGACATGCTCCTGAATGACTTTTGGATAAATAATGAAATTAAGGCAGAAATCAAGAAGTTCTTTGAAAATAATGAGAACAAAGATACAACATACCAGATTCTCTGGGACATAGATAAAGTAGTGGTAAGAGGAAAATTCATAGCACTAAATGCCCACATCAAAAAGTTAGAAAGATTTTGAGTTAATAAGCTAACTTTACAACTGAAGGAATTAGAGAAGCAAGAACAAATCAACCCCAAAGCTAGTAGAAGCCAAGAAATAACAAAAATCAGAGTTGAACTGAAGGAAATCGAGACACAGAAAACCATTCAAAAGATCAATGAATATGCGGTGTTTGGTTTTTTGTTCTTGCAATAGTTTACTGAGAATGATGATTTCCAATTTCATCCATGTCCCTACAAAGGACATGAACTCATCATTTTCTATGGCTGCATAGTATTCCATGGTGTATATGTGCCACATTTTCTTAATCCAGTCTATCATTGTTGGACATTTGGGTTGGTTCCAAGTCTTTGCTATTGTGAATAATGCCACAATAAACATACGTGTGCATGTGTCTTTATAGCAGCATGATTTATAGTCATTTGGGTATATACCCAGTAATGGGATGGCTGGGTCAAATGGTATTTCTAATTCTAGATCCCTGAGGAATCGCCACACTGACTTCCACAATGGTTGAACTAGTTTACAGTCCCACCAACAGTGTAAAAGTGTTCCTATTTCTCCACATCCTCTCCAGCACCTGTTGTTTCCTGACTTTTTAATGATTGCCATTCTAACTGGTGTGAGATGGTATCTCATTGTGGTTTTGATTTGCATTTCTCTGATGGCCAGTGATGATGAGCATTTTTTCATGTGTTTTTTGGCTGCATAAATGTCTTCTTTTGAGAAGTGTCTGTTCATGACCAAACACCGCATATTCTCACTCATAGGTGGGAATTGAACAATGAGATCACATGGACACAGGAAGGGGAATATCAAACTCTGGGGACTGTGGTGGGGTGGGGGGAGGGGGGAGGGATAGCACTGGGAGATATACCTAATGCTAGATGATGAGTTAGTGGGTGCAGCGCACCAGCATGGCACATGTATACATATGTAACTAACCTGCACAATGTGCACATGTACCCTAAAACTTAAAGTATAACAAAAAAAAAGATCAATGAATCCAGTTTTTTTTTAAATAATAAAATAGATTGGCCACTAGCTAGACTAGTAAAGAAGAAAAGAGAGAAGATCCAAATCAACACAATAAGAAATGACTAAGGGAATGTTACTACTGACCCCACAAAAATAAAAACAATCATCAGAAACTACTATAAACACCTCCACACACACAAACTAGAAAACCTAGAAGAGATGAATAAATTACTGGACACATACACCCTCCCAAGACTGAGCCAGGAAGAAATTAATTTTCTGAACAGATCAATAATGAGCTCTGGAATTGAATCAGTAATAAATAGCCTACCAATGAAAAAAAGCCCAAGATCTGATGGATTCACAGTCTTAATTCTACCAGATGTACAAAGACAAGTTGATAAGGTTCCTACAGAAACTATTTCAAAAAGTTATGGAGGAGAGACTCCTTCCCAACTCATTCTATGAGGCCAGTCATCTTCATACCATAACCTGGCAGAAATACACACACAGGAATAAAACTTTAGGCCGATATCCTTCACAAATATGCGTGCAAAAGTCTTCAACAAAATACTTGTAAACTGAATCTTCAGTATATCAAAAACCTTATCCATCATGATCAAGTAGGCTTCATCCTCAAAATGCAAGATTGGTTCCACATATGCAAATCAATAAATGTGATTTATAACATAAACTAAAGATAAAAACCACTATTATCTCAATAGATGCAGAAAAGGCTTTTGATAAAATTCAACATCTCTCCATGTTAAAAACTCTCCATGAACTAGGCACTGAAGGAACATAACTCAACATGATAAGAACCATTTATGATAAACCCATAGGCTGTACTGAATGGGCAAAAGCCAGAACCATTCTTTTTGAAAGCTGAAAAAGAGAAGGAAGCCCTCTCTCACCACTTCTATTCAGCATAGTATTGGAAGTCCTAGCCAGAGCAATCAGGAAAGAGAAATAAATAAAAGGGGAATAGAAAGAGAGGAAGTCAAACTATCTCTGTTTGCAGATGACATGATCCTACATTGAGAAAATCCCACAGTCACAACCCAAAAGCTCCTCCAGCTGATAAGCAACTTCAGTGAGGTTGCAGAACACAAAATAATTGTACAAATATCACTAGCATTTCTATACACCAATGACAGCCAAACTGAGAGCCAAATCAGAAAGGCAATCCCATTCACAATCGCCATAAGAAGAATAAAATACCTAGGAATAGAGCTAACCAGGGAAATGAAAGATCTCTACAATAAGAATTACAAAACACTGCACAAAGAAATCAGAGAAGACACAAACAAATGGAAAAACATGCCATGCTCACGGATCAAAAGAATCAATATCATTAAAATGGCTATACTGCCCAAATCAATTTACAGATTCAATGTTATTCCTATCAAACTACTAAAGAAATTCTTTACAGAAATAGAAAAACTACCTTAAAATTCATATGGAACCAAAAAAGAGCCCAAATAGCCAAGGCGATTCTAAGCAAAAAGAACAAAGCTGGAGGCATCACATTACCCAACTTCAAACTATACTACAAGGCTACAGTTACCAAAACAGCATGTCACTGGTACAAAAACAGGCACAGAGACCAATGCAACATAATAGAGAGCTCAGAAATAAAGCCATACATCTACAATCATCTGACATTTGACAAAGCTGACAACAACAAGCAATGGGAAAAAGACTCCCTATTCAATAAATGGTTCTGGAATAACTGATTAGCCATATGCAGAAGATTGAAGCTGGACCCCTTCCTTATACTGTACCCAGAAATCAACTCAAGATAGATTAAAAACTTAAATGCAAAACCCAAAACTATAAAAACCCTGGAGGACAACTTGGCAATACCATCCTGGACATAGGAACAGGCAAAGATTTCATGACAAAGACACCAAAAGTAGCAGCAACAAAAGCAAAAATTGACAAGTGGGATCTAATTAAACTTATGAGCTTCTGCAAAACAGAAAAAACTTATCAACAGAGTAAACTAACAACCCACAGAATGGGAGAAAATATTTGCAAACTATGCTTCTGATAAAAGTCTAATATCCAGCATCTATAAAGATCTTAAACAAATTTACAAGAGAAAAACAACCTCATTAAAAAGTGGGCAAAGGACATGAACAGACACTTCTCAAAAGAAGACATACATGCAACCGACAGCATATGAAAAAAAGTTCAATATCATTGATCATTAGAGAAATTCAAATCAAAACCACAATGAGATACTATCTCACATCAGTCAGAATGCCTATTTGGTTTTGTTTGTTTGTTTGTTTGTTTGTTTTTTGAGATGGGCCCTTGCCCTGTCACCCAGGCTGGAGTGCAATGGTGCAATCTCGGCTCACCGCAACCTCTGCCTCCCGAGTTCAAGTGATTCTTTTGCCTCAGCCTCCCAAGTAGCTGGGATTACAGGTGTGTGCCACCAAGCATGGCCAATTTTTTTTTCTTTTTTTGTATCTTTAGCAGAGACGGGATTTCACTATGTTGGCCAGGCTGGTTTCAAACTCCTGACCTCATGATCCACCCGCCTCGGCCTCCCAAAGTGCTGGGATTACAGGCATGAGCCACCGTGCCTGACCAGAATGGATATTATCTTTAAAAGGTAAAAATAACAGATGCTGACGAGGTTACGGAGAAAGGGGAAGACTTATACACTGTTGGTGGGAGTGTAAATTAGTTCAACCACTATGGAAAGCAATTTCTCAAAGAGCTAAAAGCAGAGCTACCATTTGACTCAGCAATCCCATTACTGTGTATATACCCAAAGGAATATAAATTATTCTACCATAAAGACACATGCAAGTGAATGTTCATTGCAGTACTATTCACAGCAGCAAAGACATGGAATCAACCTAAATGCCCATCAATGACAGATTGGATAAAGAAAATGTGGTCTTTTGTGGGAAAACGGATGGAGCTGAAGGCTATTATCCTTAGCAAACTAACACAGGAACAGAAAAGCAAATATTGCATACTTTTACTTACAAATGAGAGCTAAATGATAAGAATTTATAAACACAAAGAAGGAAACAACAGACACTGGGGTCAACTCGAGCAGGAAGGGTGAGAGGAAGGAGAGGAGCAGAAGAGATAACTATTGGGGGTCAGGTGTGGTGACCTATTCCTGTAATCCCAGAACTTTTGGAGGCCGAGGTGGGTAGATCACTTGAGGTCAGGAGTTCGAGACCAGCCTGGCCAATGTGGTGAAACCCCGTCTCTACTAAAAACAAACAAAACAAAACTATACACACACACACACACACACACACACACACACACACGAAAACTAGCTGGATGTGGTGGCAGACCACTGTAATCCCAGCTACTCGGGAAGCTGAGGCAAGAGATTGACTTGAACCCAGGAAATGGAGGTTGCAGTGAGCTGAGATTGCACCACTGCACTCTAGCCTGGGCCATACAGCAAGACTCTGTCTCATAAAAAAATTAATAAAATAAAATAACTATTGGGTACTGGGCTTAATACCTGGGTAATGAAATAATATGTACAATAACCCCCCATGATATGTGTTTACCTATGTAACAAATCTTCACATGTACCCTCAAACCTAAAATAAAAATCTAAAAAATGAACAAAAAAAAGAAGAAAAAAAGATGACGTTTTAGACATGAGTAATTTATTTGACCTCAATAAGGAAGAAATGAATATATAAATTTCTATAAAATCAGGTTGCTACCAAGTATTGCCAATGGAAGAGGTATGAGCAAATATTAAACTATTTTAAAGTTGTTGCATGCTCAGCATCCCATTTTTCTATGATTCTTCTACTTCTAGATCATCACCTTGATGGGTGGACTCCCACCCATATCAAGAAGGGCTACCTAACACAAATGATAACAGTGTAGGTTTCTTCAGTGCTTGTTCCCTTCTGCTCATCCTGGGTTTCTTTCGTGCATTACCCAGAAGCTCTCCCATACTTTCTCAGCAGGTCACTCTTCAACTCTGGTGATCTATCGCCCCAGGGCTACATACCAAGGAAAACAATCTGGGCTCTGCGTTCTGCCCTTTTCTTATATCCTAGAAAAACAGACCTGTGTAATGAGATTGTTAGTGAATTAGGAAGAAACTCTAAGTAATAACTTAGAGAAGGGAAGTTTAGTATTTAAGCTTTAATAATTAGAAACAGCTTCATGAACAGGTGTACCAAAAAAATTTCCTGGAACATAATCAATCAGGTCTGTTACTCTGGTGCTTTAGGGTTCTCTTATTGTGGGTAGGCTAGGTCATAATTTATGGAGGCAACCAGCTAAGAAAGAGGCAAGAATGCCATCGGAGTATGTACCAAAAAACTTATGACACACACACACACACACACACAGAGAGAGAGAGATACACTGCATTTACATTACCACAGTGGCCAAACTAATACGATGGATAGCAATATAATCCTGCTTATTTGTAGAACACTTCCACCCATTTGAGGCATCATTGCTACCCAGGAACTTAATAGACACATGGGTATGCGGTAGTAAATATGAATGACCTTTATTTTTTTACGGACTCAGATACCAGCTGGTCCCAGTGAAAAGCTCAATAATAAAATAATAACATTCACTGAATGATACTACTTTACATAAAATGAAATACTTTACACATATTTTCCTTAATGTAGATACCTGTTTTATCTCCATTTACAGATAAGGAAATGGAATATGAGCAATGTTAACAAGTATATACAGCTAGTTACATCTAGGATAATGTAGATTTGTCTACTTTGGAGCTCAGGCTTTTAATCACTGCACTATATTATTTTACCAATAAAAACCTAAGAATTAATATTAAAGCTGTACATAGCACAGGACTCATCTAAATATCCTTCCTAATTTTCAAGCATCAAACTGACCCCTTCTAGCTCACTGCCAAGTTGTGATACTTTTTTATTTTCATTACACCCCAACATCTGATAACATAATGAGAAAAATTAGAACTTATCCATGGCACTCTCCTTACTTTACCCAGATACAGGTATAATAAGTCTTCCATGTTGATTCTGAAGCCAGACCGTCTGAATTTGATTCCTGATTTGCTACTTATTGTGTGACTTTAGGCAGATTGCACGACCTCTCTGTGTTTCAATCTCTCCCCATCTATGAAATGAGATTAATAATAGCACCTACTCACAAAGGCCCAAATCAATGTCCACTCAAGAGCAGCAGTTGCAAGCATTACTTATCTGTCCTGATCTGAGAAGTATGACATGAGATAAACACACTGGCCTTTTCAGACACAATCAAGTTCATCAGCCCCTGAGGGCATCATCTCAGAAACTGCTTCTTACTCACTCCACAACGCTCTTTTGTGACTGCCCTTTTTCTTCAAATATATGCCTTTCTAACTTTATTATATCAAGATTAAAATGTCAGTTGAGGGGAGAGTTCTACATACTACATTTAGTCAAAGCCTTTACTGCCCTAAGAGTGACTTTGAGCCCAAATAACACTGAAAAATTGTGATCTGGGTTTTCTGATCAATACTCCCTTGCCTGGCATACTTTCTCCTGGGATTTTTATATCTTTGCCTTCAAGTCCTACCAGCATGTAGCATGCTGTTAATAGTCAGGACATAAATACATCATTACTGGACAGACAACTGTTCAGAAAAGCAAAAGGAACGATAAGTAAATATTGTCCAGGGAGAGATGTTTGCATGAAAGCCGAATTTAAATTTTCCCTTCTGGGATAAGTAAAGCCGAGCTTTGGTCTGTGAGTGTGGCTGGGAGTGTGAGCTGGGAAGGAGTGGTCTGGTCTTGGCGCTCCCCTGGACTAGATGTGTGGCCTTGGCTGTTTTAGTGGCCCCACAGCTCAATTTCCTAATCAGCAAATGAGGATAGAATATCATCTTTCACTCCCAGGAGCTGTGACAGTGAATTAAGGCAAAAGCAGAGTCTTTGGGGTCCCTTAGTAAGAAAGAAGAGCTGAGCGAGTTGAAGGTTCAGCCACACAAGCTGGGTAGCTGAAGCATTTACATCATTATATGCTCAAACAACAATTTCTGAGACTTGATTTCAAGTAAATATTTTTCGAGAACCTAGACTCACCCACTAGAATGTTTTTGAGCTGTAGAACACCAAGGAATTTGGCTGTAAAGCTTTTATTTTGGCCTTTGCTTAGCTTTGAGCACAGGATTATATGTAGACCTGCTGTTTTATTTTCATGGTTAGAGTTTAGAGTCTAGGCGTCTGAACAAGTTATATCTTTCCTGGGGTTTAAAAGTCTGAAAAACAAAATAAAGTCTCTCCTTGCCTTTTTTCTTAGTCTGGATTTAAACAACACCACCACAAAAAGCAAGGGGAGACTTAGATCTTAAATTATATGGTAAATATAGGCACTTTACATTATATAATTGGCCATTTCTTTACCTTGCTTTGGCTGCATGCTCAGGCATATTTTGTATTGAATATTTTAGAAATTCTTTGGCAGTATTGTTCCCATTGCCGCATATTCCATGGAGGCCCTTTGAGACTGAGATTCCTCTGAGAGAGATTTCACCAGTCAGGGCCTGAGCTATACATAGTTGGCTTCCTTCGTACTTTATCTGGGGTTATCATTCCATCCCATCCACTATTAACAGCTTAAATCCAAAATGTAGAATGCCTTTTGGGGATTTTAATGCATTCTTAAATGGTTCTTTCCCCATACTATTTCACCTCTTCTTTCTCCATACTATTTCCCTCTGTCTAATCCTTCCTGAACTTCTCATTCTGTCTTTTCTTCTCCTCTCTCTCTAAGGTCACCAGACATAGAACTCCAAGCTTATTCTCTTTAAGTATATCATTTGCTTATTGGAAAGAATGTTGGACATAGAGAGTTAAAAGATAAGTTCCAAAACCAGTTTTACCATATACTGGCAACATGACCTTAAGCAAGACACTTTATTTCTTTAGGATCTAACTCCCACACCTGCAGAATGGGGATAAAATAATGCAACAGTTTTACTGTGATCGGCTTCTAAGATAATATATGCAAAATCATCTTGATTCCATATTAACCAGACACTTGAATAAATCTCAAACTTGCAAAGTCTCAGAATCCTTGTTTGTAAAATGAAAATAACTGTAGCTACCCTGCCTTCTTCATGATTAATTATGGAGATGATGAGATAAGATGTGTTAAAGAAGTTTGCAAATTGGAAATCACTGAATAATGTAAAATGTCACTTTCCCATTGCTGCTTCTTCTCTGGGCAGAGGATGATGGCTGGGGCTCGGCATATGTGTTGCCACTGGAGGATGGAATCAGATGTCAGTACTGCCCACTTGTTCTGTTTTTTTTCTCCCTCAGGATGGAATGCTATGTTGAAAGACTCCCCTTTTGGTCTGACATGATTTCTTTCTGTACTGCAAGCTGTTCCCCAGAATGAAAAATGACAATGCCATGTCTTCGATGAGGCAGAACACTAACACTCTAACACTAAATTGTGTCATCGCCTCTCTCAGGCAGTAAAGTAGCATGTGGTGGGCCCAGGATCCCAGTTAGGGAAGGGCCACCCTGGTGAGCTGAACTGATCCAGCCTGTTGAATCCATTGCTCAGATCCCTTGGCAGCCATTTAATATTATTATTTTCTCTCCTTTTCTTGGAATTATGCTTCCTCCTGTCTGCATATGAAGCATGAGTGAATTGGGAGAAAGCTGGGAAGACAAAGGGCTCAAAGACAAAAGCAAAATATAATAATGATAACAACTCACATTGGTAGAGTAATTTGCAGTTTATAAAACCCTTTATATTGTTATGTATAATACTTATTTGCTGCATAAACTCACACAAATTAACATCCTAAGGCTCAGTCCCTCATCTATAAAATGGTGAACAATCATAAAACCTTACTTCACAAAGTTGTGAGTATTGAAAAATAATGTACGTAAATAGATCAAAAGTATGTTTGACAACAAATAAAGGAATTGTCCTTTATTTATTTAGGAGATGAGGTCTCACCCTGTCATCCAGTCTACTAAGATGAAATCTCACCAAACCTAATGTAATCAGAGGAGAAACTTTCCCATTATCTTTGCCATTTTTTTATTGGCTATAAGCAATGTATATTCTGTCTGTATTCAAAGGAATAGGATTATATAAGATCATGACTCATTGGGGGGTCACCTTAGGGTATATTCACCACAGGAAAGAAAGATAGGTGAGGATATATGTCATTCATTTGGCACAAACAGTTGCTGGGAAGATTATTTATTTTTTTCAAAAAACTGTTCTTCTGATGAGCAACTCATGATAGCCACTGTAGGCAGCCCCACTCTTCCAGTTGCACAGTTATTAAGGTGAAGAAAAAGCACTTTCTTTTTGACCTAATGACCCCTGGTGACATTGCCTTTATTATACTGGAGCATGCTTTTTTAATATCCATGTCAAGGAATTGTCCTAACAATGAGTTTCAGAGGACACCTATCTTCTAGAATGTAATTCTGTTCAGTTGCAAATTTGTAATACAACATAACCAATTCTGAAGGAGCAGTGCTACTTGAGACACAGTGGGTGTAGAGAGACTCCATAGAGTATGAAATAAAGATGAGAAATCGAGGAGTCCTGCTGAGACTATGTAGCTAGCTACCTGTGTAGTCTTAACCAACCCATCACCTGACTACAGCTCAGTGTTGCATCCATAAGATGATGCCCTAGAAGTACATCGCTTGTTTTCCAATGATGCTTTCCAAACTACAAAGTGTTACAGAGGTGTTTTAGGATTTCAGCAAACAAAAAGATGTTTTCTACCAAACAATAAGATTTCTGTTTCCTGAGGGACCCATTGATTTATCACTTTTATTTATCTCTTCAACATTTCAGAATGTCTGTATAAGAATTCTGTGGAAAACGGTTCAGTTCTTTTCAATTCTTCAAAATGAGTGTGAAAAAGTTGAAGCTAATTAATCTGCAAGGCCTCGATCTTCTTTGGACCTTCTTTGGATCCATGAGAGGCAATGTGCTGCAGATATTTAAAACTAGGGCTCTGGAGTCAGAATGTTCTTGGGTTGAATTCTGTCTCCACTACTATGTAAACTTGAACAAGAAACTTAATTTTCCCAAGACTCATTTCCTCATGAAAGTAGTAAGAGAATCCCCCACATAGGGTGAAGGTAAAGAGGCATCCTGAGCATTAAGGTTAATCTGTCTGAGACTTACTCCCCAAGGCCCGACTCCTTGAAAAGTTCAATGGAACCCAGCAACATACAGTCAAATCGCTAAGGTGATCAATCCTGGCAGAACATTGAGGGGGCAAATCAAGTTCCAGACTGCTAAGAGATAAAAGCTGCAGCCCTAAGTCCTTGATCTCAGTCCTCATGATGCCATGGACAGGGGCTTGAGCTTCTACATCCATGAATGCTGAGGTGATAAATGATGCCACCTACACACCAAGTCATACAGTTGCAGTTAAACAGTTTGGATTCCTTATGACATTAGGGAAGGGCTTCTCAACTTCACACTACTGACATCTTGAACTGGACAATTCTTTGTTGTGGGGGGTTTCCCTGTGCATTATAAGATGTTTAGCAACATTTCTGACCTCTAACTACTAGATGCCGGTTGCAACCATCTCTCCCTAGCAGGACAATCAAAAATGTCTCAAGATGTAGCCAAAAGTCCTCCCAGGACTCAAAATCACCCTTGGTTAAAAATCACTGCATGAGGTGAACTCCAAACCAAAAGTTCTGAGCTGATGGATTAAGGCTGCGGCCAAGTGCTGCACAAAATGCTGCTCTTGGGTTCCCAACTCTGATCATACCAGGAGACAGGCTGTGCTTCCCCAGTCACACAGTTTAAAAGCCCCACAACCAAGTCAAAGATTCTGTGGTAGGCAGGACAATGGTCCCCCAAAGATATCAGTGCCTATGTTACCTTGTAAGGAAGATGGGTCTTTGCAAATCTGATTAAATTAAATTAATGAATTTTGAGATGAGAGACTTTTCTTAGATTATCTGGGTGAGACCTAAATGGAAACACACCTGTCTTTATAGAACAAGTGTAGAAGGAGATTTGAGAGGAAAAGACACACAGAGAAGGAGAAGGCAGTGTGACCATGGAGACAGAGATTGGAGTGATGCAGCCAGAAATTGAGGAATCTGGGCAGCCACCAGAGGCTGGAGGAGGCAGGGAACAAATTCTCCCTACAGCCTCTGGACAGGGTGCTGCCCTACTGACAACACAATTTTGGCCAGTGATACTGATTTCAGATGCCTGGTCTCCAGAATTATTGTTTGAAGCCACCATATGTTTGTGGTAATTTGTTATAGTAGCCACAGGAACTTCATTCAGATACTTTTCCCATATCTGACTCTGGTCCTGCTATATCTTTGTATGCCATTCTGCTCCTGTCTCTGTGATTTTCATAGTAAATTCAGCCCCAGTGTGTATGCTGTCTGGCTATTCACCTTGGTTTGCGTGACACGTTCATGAACAAATACTCTTAAATTAAATATCTATTATATGTCAGGCAATGTTCAAGGCCCTCAGGACACAGTGACGAATGCAAGTTGCCTTATTTCAGGCTGGGGGTGAAAGTTGTAGGAAGGAAGAAGGAGGAAGAATAATGAAAATGAATAAGCACAATAATAAATAAACAAATAAAGAAATAATAAACAAAGAAAATGAATAAACACAACTAAGTAAATAATGAATAGAATAACAATTCAGAAACAAACCCAGACCTGTTGACAAAACATGACCATGCCTTGGGAAAAGCATGCCTTTTCAGTAAATGGTTCTGGTCAATTGGATATGAATAAGGGGGAGGGGGAAGGAATTTTAACCTGTCTCACATTATGCTCCTAAATTAGTTATCTAAATGGATTGCTGATCTAAATGTGAAATGCAAAACAACCAAGCTTTTAGAATAAAACATAAAACATCTTCATAATTTTGAGTAGGCAAATATTTCTTAAACATATTACATATTACAAAATATGCTAGGCATAAAAGAAAAAATCCAGCATACTATGATAATTTAATATATTAAAAAGGTCTCCACCTCACTAGTCATCTTGAAAAAGCAAATTAAAACTACAGTGATATACCACTACATACCTATCATGGCACGATGCTGTCCCTCCAAAGGGAGGATGTGTAATATGAGTGAAATCCATGTAGAGAACGTTTCAAGGTGTTCTCGGACACAGGCAGAGTGAGCTCCAGGCCTTATTCCTTCTTTAGCTCTGCTTCTACCCAATTGCAATATTCATTCCATGCTTGCTGTACACCTACACTGTAGAAGGCACTGAAGATTCAGTGGCCAATAAAACAGACATGAATCTTAGTGAAAGCTTATAAAATTTAGTGAAAACTCAATAGTCAACAAATAAACACAATCCCAAATATACAATTACAAATGGTATATGCTATGATGGGAAATAATAGTGTCTGTGAGACAGAATAATATGGGAGGGGAAGAGCCAGTTTAAGCTAGGAAGGTAATCAGCAAGGGCAACAGAGGAAGTGCTATCTAAGCTGAGAGATGAAGAGAAGACTAGAGAGAAAAGCCCTCCAAGTAGAAGTAAGCATAAGGCAGGAGCATGGGCTTAGAATAGCAGAAAAAGGGGCAGTGAGGGTATCAATGGTGAGTCAGGTGACCGTGAGAGGAGCTGAAGCTCTAATGTGGAGTGGGGGTGAGGGGTGAGGGAGTCCTACAGGTCTTTGCAGATTATTTATGACTGAATTTTATGTTAAGTATACTGGAAGCCGTTATAGGGTTTTAAGCAGGAAAATAATATAGCTTGGTTTTGATTTTTTTTTTTTTAATGATCCTCTGGCTTCTGTGTGGAGGACAAATGGAAAGGAGCAAGGGTGGAAACCTGGAGACTAATTAGCAAGATGTATCCACTGTGCAAGTGGGAGATGAGATAGGCCTGGAGGTTCTCCAGGGGGACCCTGGAGATGGGGAGAAGTGGATGAGTCAAGTTATATTTTGGTGATAGAACCAATCAATTCTATAGATTGAGTATATGCCTCAGGTAAGAAGAGGGATTCATGTTTTCTAGTTCACAGAAGACAATCAGCTAATGGGAATGATTTCTTCCAGTCATGCACAGGAATTGTGATCGTTCAAAGACAGCACAGAAACTTTCCCTGAAAGAACTTCTGAATCTTCTCCTTCTTAGGAAAATGTTACAAGTTCCAGCTCTGTGGTTGTTAGATACAGTTGTTTTTTTTCCTCTTTTAAAATCCTCTGAAACAATTTCAGAAATAATATCTAAAACATTCCTGTATTGAAAGCATGTACTTACATCTAACCTAAATCCCTTATGTCATAAGGGTTAAATTCAGTTTCCTGTTGGAAAATGGGTTCCTTTTTCCCAGCAGGAGGCAGTGTGATATTTTGGCAAAAATCTGGAAACCTCACTTCTCACCTTCTCCTCTGAGGCTTCTGTGCTGAGAATCCACTTTATCTGCCATCCATGGGACTGCAGGAGGAAAAGACCATCTTCCTTAGGCTGCTTCTGAGGAGGCTATTAAAAAGACAGCTTTACAGGACGTTTATAGTGCTCCTGATCCTAGAGGGCAGACCTGCAGGGCCTGGCAGGGGAGAGTGCGTGTGTGTGTGTTCTGGATGAGGCTGCTGTCTTCAAATCCAGATGGCCCATGATGTCACTGGAAAAAACCCTGAAATGTGCTACAAGAAAGAACTTTTTTATGGCTCTCTGTGTAATGTTACCATACACTAGGCTTGAGGTGGGAGAAAAAGGAACTGAAACTTTCTTGCTCCACACAGCCTGGCCCATCTGTCACTTTGGGCTGCAGGGAAAGGAAGGGCTACAGGAAGGGAAGGGATTAGGTGGGAGGAGAGAAAAAAGCAAAAGGACAAAGGGAGTTGAGAACTAAACCTCTCATGTTCATACTGCCTCTGTGTCGTGTCAGAGGGTGCTTAGCATACCAGAGGACAGCTCTTTGTCTATATGTGTGACGCTCCTAGCAGACTAGATTTGAGATCAGCGTCTCTGCTGTTTGAGATCAGAGTCCCCGCCTTACTTACCTCTGTAACCTTGGAACCAAACACAATGTCAATTACATAATGTTTTATTCCTTCACCACTGAACCTTACATAAGCAAGTGTTTGTGGTAGAACTTTGGGCAAGGTTGAGGTATATAGCTTGCTAATACAAGCATGTAAGATTTTAGAACTGAATACCATTCAGAGCCTTAAGTTTAGGCTCTATACTTATATCTAAGCCATCTGTTTCACTTCATGTCCAAGAAAACCTGATCCAGAAGGAGGAGAAACAAGCTAGACATGTTTTCCTTAAAAGCAGTGTCCCTGCTGTTTGAGATTAGAATCCCTGCCTTACTTACCTCTGTAACCTTGGAACCAAACACAATGTCTATTACATAATGTTAAAAGAATGGAGTTCTACAATGGAGCTACATTATTAAAGGCCATAGAAACAAGAATCAGGAGAAAGAAAGAAAGGAATTATATTTTATTTGGTGTTCCATATGTGTTACACATCATAATAGACCATTTGCATACATTTTCCTTGTTGCTATTGTTCGAAGTAGAACTTAACTAACCCCACTTTACAGAGGAAAAACCTGAAGCTTAGAGAAAGTAAATCATGTGCCCAAGTACAGGCAGCAAGCACAGGCAGCATTCAAGCTCAGATCTGAATAATTCCAAAGCAATTCCCACTAGTATAGCATGCCTTTCTCAGAAAATGACCACTCCCCATTCTTCCCCACCTCAGACATAAGGCAGAGAGAAAAAGTAAGCTATATATGGGAAGAAGGAGGCTGAAAATGTGAATCCTAACTCAGTACGCATTATAAATGAATCCACTATAACACAGTATAGTAGACAGTGGATGCTTTTAGGGATACTTAAAGTTGGATTTGTTATAACTTTCTCACCATTTCTTTAACTTTCACTAATTGTCTGAGTTTCTGTAACTTTCACTGAACTGAAAGCAAGTTCTAAAGAGCCTAAGTTACTCAAGTAGTGGTGTATGTAGTAGGAAAGGATAGCTTACAGGGAGAACCACTCTCTACTTAGATTAAGGATAAACCATGTCAACTTTGGTTCTTCAACTAAAAACCAATCAGAATGAAAATTAGTATAAAAGAAATGATCAAGAGTGACTCTGTAAACATTTTGTAGTCAAACAGGAAGAAAATGCTTCTGATTTTATTCCTTCACCACTGAACCTTACATACGCAAGTGTTTGTGGTAGAACATTGGGCAAGGTTGAGGTATATAGCTTGCTAATAATACAAGCATGTAAGATTTTAGAACTGAATACCATTCAGAGTCTTAAGTTTAGACTCTATACTTATATCTAAGCCATCTGTTTCACTTCATGTCCAAGAAAACCTGGTCCAGAAGGAGGAGTAACATGCTAGATTTTACAGCAGGTTAATGGCAGAAGTAGCACAGAAACCAGTGGTTGTATTCCCCATTTAAGAGATTCTGTCACTATCTTAACAAGACATATAAGGCTTTGGATGCTAGCTCTACCCCAGCCACTCTGCTCTGGCAATTATAAAAGCAATCTTTCAAGCCAGCATGTAAATTGTTCATCAAAATTTCTGCCTGTGCACAGCTAAAATGCCAAGAATTTTTTAACATTGTCCAGGTGACATCAAAAAGTGTAGAAAGTTTTGAGAGAAGTATGAGGATATTTTCCTCTTCTAGGGCTATCAGGGACATGTTACAGAGGACTACCAGGCCTGATAGGGAAATTCTAGCAGACATTTCCTTAAAGACCAACATGCCACATACATATATTTTTCATGTGATTATGTAATAAAACTATCTTATTATCTGGCATCAAAATTCTTTTTAAAATCTTTTAAAAAAGGGAACACTTTCTATTTGGAAAAAATACCTTGCTCTGTGCTTAGAAATGAAGGAAAGCTATTAAGAGCCTATGTACTTTAGGGTTCAAAATTTAATAGGAAATGATACAATTACTCTGCACTGGATGAAAATAGGAAATTTGTTTTTTTTTAAGAGATGAAGATAGAAGGTTAAAATATAAACAAAGGAGGAAGAAGAAAATAGGTGTCATGTGGAGGAAAAAACAAGGAAAAAAGAACCTTATTGGAAGCAAGTATGAACACCAATGCTATTTGAGAATAGAATACTTAGAATGGTGTTTGGTTTATTTTCTTTATTGTGTGACCCTTTCTTGTGACATTATCACTGTCCAAACTTTTAAATAATATTTTGTATGTTCACAGATATTTTGTGTGAGTTGTAATTCCTGGTTTTTGATTGTCTATTTGTTGCAGAAACTAATAAAAGTTGACATTAATAGAATAGACAGCAATGCAGAAAAAGAAACCTGATTCTGCCTGTGCTGTGACATTCATTATACACTTACCCAACAGTCTCACTGTAGAAAAAGGAGTAAACAATACTTCCAACTGATTTTATGAGGCCAACACAATGCTGATATTAAAACCTGATAAAGACATAGCAAAAATTAGCATTACAGACCAATAGTACACATGAACACAGATTCACAAATTCCTGAGAAAGTGAACAAAATAATTACCAAAAGGATAACATACCATACCATGTGGGATTTATTTCAGGGATGCAAGGTTGGTTTATCTTTCAAAAATAAATCTACGTATTTACCACATTAGTAGACTAAAACAAAAAGCATATGATCACCACAACAGATTAGAAAAAACATTTGACAAGATTTAATGTCAATTTATGATTTTTAAAAATCCCTGAGAGAACCAGTAATGTAAGAGAACTTCAAAAGTCATGACTGACATCATAATTAATGAAGAAAAATGATGATTATCCCTGAAGGTTATGCATAAGGCAAGAAGGTCCACCTTTAATACTTGCATTTAACGTTGTGCAGCTATCCCTAGCAAGTACAATAAAGCAAGAGAGAAAACTACAATACATAGAGTTTAAAAAGAAATAAAACTATCTTTCACAAAAATTATTATTGTTTATATGAAAAATCCTAAAAGCTCTACAAATAAACTATGAGAATTAATAAATGAATTTAGCTTATTTGCAAGATGCAAGCTCAATATATAAGATCAGTTGTATTTTTGTGAAACTAGCAACAAATAATTAGAAAAATGAATTTTAACTTTAACATGTATAAAGCATCCAAAAACATGAAATAGGAATAGCATGATAAAAGACTGGAAATACAATACACAGAAAATTTCAAAGCATTGTGGAGAGAATAAAGACGATTAATATATTTGACATTCCATGAAGTCAAAGATTCATTTTTAAGGTGTCAGTTGTCCTCAGTTGATCTGCAACACAATCTCAATCAAAATGGCAAAAGGTTTTTCTGAAGAAATTGAAACTGATTCCAAAATTTATATGAAAATGCAAAGAGCCAGAAGAATCTTTATTTTTTTTCTTTCTTTAAAATTTATTTATTATTATTATACTTTAAGTTTTAGGGTACATGTGCACAATGTGCAGGTTAGTTACATATGTATACATGTGCCATGCTGCTGCGCTGCACCTACTAACTCGTCATCTAGCATTAGGTATATCTCCCAATGCCATCCCTCCCCTCTCCCCCCACCCCACAACAGTCCCCAGAGTGTGATGTTCCCCTTCCTGTGTCCATGTGTTCTCATTGTTCAATTCCCACCTATGAGTGAGAATATGCGGTGTTTGGTTTTTTGTTCTTGCGATAGTTTACTGAGAATGATGATTTCCAATTTCATCCATGTCCCTACAAAGGACATGAACTCATCATTTTTTATGGCTGCATAGTATTCCATGGTGTATATGTGCCACATTTTTTTAATCCAGTCTATCATTGTTGGACATTTGCATTGGTTCCAACTCTTTGCTATTGTGAATAGTGCCACAATAAACATACATGTGCATGTGTCTTTATACCAGTATGATTTATAGTCCTTTGGGTATATACCCAGTAATGGGATGGCTGGGTCAAATGGTATTTCTAATTCTAGATCCCTGAGGAATCGCCACACTGACTTCCACAATGGTTGAACAGTTTGCAGTCCCACCAACAGTGTAAAAGTGTTCCTATTTCTCCACATCCTCTCCAGCACCTGTTGTTTCCTGACTTTTTAATGATTGCCATTCTAACTGGTGTGAGATGGTATCTCATTGTGGTTTTGATTTGCATTTCTCTGTTGGCCAGTGATGGTTAGCATTTTTTCATGTGTTTTTTGGCTGCATAAATGTCTTCTTTTGAGAAGTGTCTGTTCATGTCCTTCGCCCACTTTTTGATGGGGTTGTTTTTTCTTGTAAATTTGTTTGAGTTCATTGTAGATTCTGGATATTAGCCCTTTGTCAGATGAGTAGGTTGCGAAAATTTTCTCCCATTTTGTAGGTTGCCTGTTCACTCTGATGGTAGTTTCTTTTGCTGTGCAGAAGCTCTTTAGTTTAATTAGATCCCATTTGCCAATTTTGGCTTTTGTTGCCATTGCTTTTGGTGTTTTAGACATGAAGTACTTGCCCATGCCTATGTCCTGAATGGGAATGCCTAGGTTTTCTTCTAGGGTTTTTATGGTTTTAGGTCTAACGTTTAAGTCTTTAATCCATCTTGAATTGATTTTTGTATAAGGTGTAAGGAAGGGATCCAGTTTCAGCTTTCTACATATGGCTAGCCAGTTTTCCCAGCACCATTTATTAAATAGGGAATCCTTTCCCCATTGCTTGTTTTTCTCAGGTTTGTCGAAGATCAGATAGTTATAGATATGTGGCGTTACTTCTGAGGGCTCTGTTCTGTTCCATTGATCTATATCTCTGTTTTGGTACCAGTACCATGCTGTTTTGGTTACTGTAGCCTTGTAGTATAGTTTGAAGTCAGGTAGTGTGATGCCTCCAGCTTTGTTCTTTTGGCTCAGGATTGACTTGGCGATGCGGGCTCTTTTTTGGTTCCATATGAGCTTTAAAGTAGTTTTCTCCAATTCTGTGGAGAAAGTCATTGGTAGTTTGATGGGGATGGCATTGAATCTGTAAATTACCTTGGGCAGTATGGCCATTTTCACGATATTGATTCTTCCTACCCATGAGCATGGAATGTTCTTCCATTTGTTTGTATCCTCTTTTATTTCTTTGGGCAGTGGTTTGTAGTTCTCCTTGAAGAGGTCCTTCACATCCCTTGGAAGTTGGATTCCTAGGTATCTTATTCTCTTTGAAGCAATTGTGAATGGGAGTTCACTCATGATTTGGCTCTCTGTCTGTTCTTGGTGTATAAGAATGCTTGTGATTTTTGTACATTGATTTTGTATCCTGAGACTTTGCTGAAGTTGCTTATCAGCTTAAGGAGATTTTGGGCTGAGACAATGGGGTTTTCTAGATATACAATCATGTCGTCTGCAAACAGGGACAATTTGACTTCCTCTTTTCCTAATTGAATACCCTTTATTTCCTTCTCCTGCCTAATTGCCCTGGCCAGAACTTCCAACACTATGTTGAATAGGACTGGTGAGAAGGGACATCCCTGTCTTGTGCCAGTTTTCAAAGGGAATGCTTCCAGTTTTTGCCCATTCAGTATGATATTGGCTGTGGGTTTGTCATAGATAGCTCTTAATATTTTGAGATACGTCCCATCAATACCTAATTTATTGAGAGTTTTTAGCATGAAGGGTTGTTGAATTTTGTCAAAGGCCTTTTCTGCATCTGTTGAGATAATCATGTGGTTTTTGTCTTTGGTTCTGTTTATATGCTGGAATACATTTATTGATTTGCATATATTGAACGAGCCTTGCATCCCAGGGATGAAGCCCGCTTGATCAGGGTGGATAAGCTTTTTGATGTGCTGCTAGATTCGGTTTGCCAGTACTTTATTGAGGATTTTTGCATTGATGTTCATCAAGGATATTGGTCTAAAATTCTTTTTTTTTATTGTGTCTCTGTCCGGCTTTGGTATCAGGATGATGTTGGTCTTATAAAATGAGTTAGGGAGGATTCCCTCTTTTTCTATTGATTGGAACAGTTTCAGAAGGAATGGTACCAGTTCCTCCTTGTACCTGTGGTAGAATTCGGCTGTGAATCCATCTGGTCCTGGACTCTTTTTCATTGGTAAGCTATTGATTATTGCCACAATTTCAGCTCCTGTTATTGGTCTATTCAGAGATTCAGCTTCTTCCTGGTTTAGTCTTGGGAGAGTGTATGTGTCGAGGAATTTATCCATTTCTTCTAGATTTTCTAGTTTATTTGCATAGAGGTGTTTGTAGTATTCTCTGATGGTAGTTTGTATTTCTGTGGGATCGGTGGTGATATCCCCTTTATCATTTTTATTGCATCTATTTGATTCTTCTCTCTTTTTTTCTTTATTAGTCTTGCTAGCAGTGTATCAATTTTGTTGATCCTTTCAAAAAACCAGCTCCTGGATTCATTGATTTTTTGAAGGGTTTTTGTGTCTCTATTTCCTTCAGTTCTGCTCTGATTTTAGTTATTTCTTGCCTTCTGCTAGCTTTTAAATGTGTTTGCTCTTGCTTCTCTAGTTCTTTTAATTGTGATGTTAGGGTGTCAATTTTGGATCTTTCCTGCTTTCTCTTGTGGGCATTTAGTGCTATAAATTTCCCTCTACACACTCCTTTGAATGTGTCCCAGAGATTCTGGTATGTTGTGTCTTTGTTCTCGTTGGTTTCAAAGAACATCTTTATTTCTGCCTTCATTTCGTTATGTACCCAGTAGTCATTCAGGAGCAGGTTGTTCAGTTTCCATGTAGTTGAGTGGTTTTGACTGAGATTCTTAATCCTGAGTTCTAGTTTGATTGCACTGTGGTCTGAGAGACAGTTTGTTATAATTTCTGTTCTTTTACATTTGCTGAGGAGAGCTTTACTTCCAAGTATGTGGTCAATTTTGGAATAGGTGTGGTGTGGTGCTGAAAAAAATGTATATTCTGTTGATTTGGGGTGGAGAGTTCTGTAGATGTCTATTAGGTCTGCTTGGTGCAGAGCTGAGTTCAATTCCTGGGTATCCTTGTTGACTTTCTGTCTCGTTGATCTGTTTAATGTGGACAGTGGGGTGTTAAAGTCTCCCATTATTAATTTGTGGGAGTCTAAGTCTCTTTGTAGGTCACTGAGGACTTGCTTTATGAATCTGGGTGCTCCTGTATTGGGTGCATATATATTTAGGATAGTTAGCTCTTCTTGTTGAATTGATCCCTTTACCATTATGTAATGGCCTTCTTTGTCTCTTTTGATCTTTGTTGGTTTAAAGTCTGTTTCATCAGAGACTAGGATTGCAACCCCTGCCTTTTTTTGTTTTCCATTTGCTTGGTAGATCTTCCTCCATCCTTTTATTTTGAGCCTATGTGTGTCTCTGCCCATGAGATGGGTTTCCTGAATACAGCACACTGATGGGTCTTGACCCTTTATCCAATTTGCCAGTCTGTGTCTTTTAATTGGAGCATTTAGTCCATTTACATTTAAAGTTAATATTGTTATGTGTGAATTTGATCATGTCATTATGATGTTAGCTGGTTATTTTGCTCGTTAGTTGATGCAGTTTCTTCCTAGTCTCGATGGTCTTTACATTTTGGCATGATTTTGCAGTGGCTGGTACCGGTTGTTCCTTTCCATGTTTAGCGCTTCCTTCAGGAGCTCTTTTAGGGCAGGCCTGGTGGTGACAAAATCTCTCAGCATTTGCTTGACTGTAAAGTATTTTATTTCTCCTTCACTTATGAAGCTTAGTTTGGCTGGATATGAAATTCTGGGTTGAAAATTCTTTTCTTTAAGAATGTTGAATATTGGCTCCCACTCTCTTCTGGCTTGTAGAGTTTCTGCCGAGAGATCTGCTGTTAGTCTGATGGGCTTCCCTTTGAGGGTTACCTGACCTTTCTCTCTGGCTGCCCTTAACATTTTTTCTTTCATTTCAACTTTGGTGAATCTGACAATTATGTGTCTTGGTGTTGCTCTTCTCGAGGAGTATCTTTGTGGCGTTCTCTGTATTCCCTGAATCTGAATGTTGGCCTGCCTTGCTAGACTGGGGAAGTTCTCCTGGATAATATCCTGCAGAGTGTTTTTCAACTTGGTTCTATTCTCCCCGTCACTTTCAGGTACACCAATCAGACATAGATTTGGTCTTTTCACATAGTCCCATATTTCTTGGAGGCTTTGCTCATTTCTTTTTATTCTTTTTTCTCTAAACTTCCCTTCTCGCTTCATTTCATTCATTTCATCTTCTGTCACTGATACCCTTTCTTCCAGTTGATTGCATTGGCTCCTGAGGCTTCTGCATTCTTCACGTAGTTCTCAAGCCTTGGTTTTCAGCTCCATCACCTCCTTTAAGCACTTCTCTGTATCGATTATTCTAGTTATACATTCTTCTAAATTTTTTTCAGTTTTCAGCTTCTTTGCCTTTGGTTTGAATGTCCTCCCGTAGCTCGGAGTAATTTGATCGTCTGAAGCCTTCTTCTCTCAGCTCATCAAAGTCATTCTCTGTCCAGCTTTATTCCGCTGCTGGTGAGGAACTGTGTTCCTTTGGAGGAGGAGAAGTGCTCTGCTTCTTAGAGTTTCCAGTTTTTCTGCTCTGTTTTTTCCCCATCTTTGTGGTTTTATCTACTTTTGGTCTTTGATGATAGTGATGTGCAGGTGGGTTTTTGGTGTGGATGTCCTTTCTGTTTGTTAGTTTTCCTTCTAACAGACAGGACCCTCAGCTGCAGGTCTGTTGGAGTACCCGGCCATGTGAGGTGTCAGTCTTCCCCTGCTGGGGGGTGCCTCCCAGTTAGGCTGCTCAGGGGGTCAGGGGTCAGGGACCCACCTGAGGAGGCTGTCTGCCCATTCTCAGATCTCCAGCTGCGTGCTGGGAGAACCACTGCTTTCTTCAAAGCTGTCAGACAGGGACATTTAAGTCTGCAGAGGTTACTGCTGTCTTTTTGTTTGTCTGTGCCCTGCCCCCAGAGGTGGAGCCTACAGAGGCAGGCAGGCCTCCTTGAGCTGTGGTGGGCTCCACCCAGTTCGAGCTTCCTGGTTGCTTTGTTTACCTAAGCAAGCCTGGGCAATGGCGGGCGCCCCTCCCCCAGCCTCGCTGCCGCCTTGCCGTTTGATCTCAGACTGCTGTGCTAGCAATCAGTGAGACTCCGTGGGCATAGGACCCTCCAAGCCAGGTGTGTGATATAATCTCCTGGTTCAACGTTTTTTAAGCCCATCGGAAAAGCGCAGTATTCAGGTGGGAGTGACCCGATTTTCCAGGTGCTGTCTGTCACCACTTTCTTTGACTAGGAAAGGGAACTCCCTGACCCCTTGCGCTTCCCGAGTGAGGCAATGCCTCGCCCTGCTTCTGCTCGGGCACGGTGCATGCACCCACTGACCTGCACCCACTGTCTGGCACTCCCTAGTGAGATGAACCCGGTACCTCAGATGGAAATGCAGAAATCACCCGTCTTCAGCATTGCTCATGCTGGGAGCTGTAGACTGGAGCTGTTCCTATTCGGCCATCTTGGCTCCTCCCGGAGAAGAATCTTTAAAAGTAAAAAGAAGCTTGGAGTTTTATACTACCTGATTTGAAAGTTTTATATAAAGTCATAGCATACACAAAATTAACTGAAGGTGAATTCCAGTCATAAAATATAAAATCATATCAATGTTAAGATAAACATAGGAGAGTGTCTTTGTCGTTATTGAGCAAGCAATGATTTCTTAGCTAGGCCATACCAAGGACTAAATACAAAAGGAACAATTGTAAATTGGATCTGCTTAAAATAAAAACTTATTTGCAAAATCAGCAAGATGGCAGCATAGAAGTACAAGTTTCTAGTCCCTATCTATCCCCTCACCAATTTGACAATCATCCACAGATGAAAATATCTTCACAAGAGCTCCAGAATATAACCCACACAGTGCATCACTGAGAGAGATCCCTCAGCTAAAGAGTTCTCTCATGGGGGAAAAGTGAGAGTAAAGTTAGTGTTCAGCTTTGCTTCAATCCTAGGCACAAAGCCAGGAAAGTGAGAGTGAATTGAGTATTCAACTTTCAATTGTGGACACTGGCACCTGGCCTGCTAGCCACCAATCCTGGTATCAGGTCCACTTGGCAGCAGGCAGTCTTGTCCAAAACCCTTAACTAAGATGACTGGTGAAGAGCTTTCCATAAATAAGTTAGTCTGTAAAGACTGGGAAGGATGATGACTTCTTCAAATAAACAGATCCCAATGCAAGTCCACATGGATTATGAAGAATGAGAGAAAAATGACATGACAAAAGAAACAAAATAAAGTTCTGAAAACAGCCCTAAAGAAATAGAGATCTACAAACTACCCAACAAGTAATTCAAAATAGTCACCTTAAGGAAGCTCATTGAGCTGCAAGGAAATAAAGATAGACAACAAAATGAAATTAAAAAAATGCCTGAACAAAATTAGAAGTTCATCAAAATGATAGACATCATTAAAAAGAAACAAACAGAAATTCTGGAGATGAAGAACACAATGACTGAACTGAAAAATTCAATAAAGAGCTTCAACAGCAGATTTAATCAAACTGAAGAAACAATCAATGAACTTGAAGACAAGTCATTTGCAGTTACGCAGTCAGAAGAACAAAAATAAATAGAAGAAATGGATAAATTCCTCGACACATACACTCTCCCAAGACTAAACCAGGAAGAAGTTGAATCTCTGAATAGACCAATAACAGGAGCTGAAATTGTGGCAATAATCAATAGTTTACCAACCAAAAAGAGTCCAGGACCAGATGGATTCACAGCCGAATTCTACCAGAGGTACAAGGAGGAACTGGTACCATTCCTTCTGAAACTATTCCAATCAATAGAAAAAGAGGGAATCCTCCTTAACTCATTTTATGAGGCCAGCATCATTCTGATACCAAAGCCGGGCAGAGACACAACCAAAAAGGAGAATTTTAGACCAATATCCTTGGTGAACATTGATGCAAAAATCCTCAATAAAATACTGGCAAACCGAATCCAGCAGCACATCAAAAAGCTTATCCACCATGATCAAGTGCGCTTCATCCCTGGGATGCAAGGCTGGTTCAATATACGCAAATCAATAAATGTAATCCAGTATATAAACATAGCCAAAGACAAAAACCACATGATTATCTCAATAGATGCAGAAAAAGCCTTTGACAAAATTCAACAACCCTTCATGCTAAAAACTCTCAATAAATTAGGTATTGATGGGACGTATTTCAAAATAATAAGAGCTATCTATGACAAACCCACAGCCAATATCATACTGAATGGGGAAAAACTGGAAGCATTCCCTTTGAAAACTGGCACAAGACAGGGATGCCCTCTCTCACCACTCCTATTCAACATAGTGTTGGAAGTTCTGGCCAGGGCAATTAGGCAGGAGAAGGAAATAAAGGGTATTCAATTAGGAAAAGAGGAAGTCAAATTGTCCCTGTTTGCAGATGACATGATTGTATATCTAGAAAACCCCATTGTCTCAGCCCAAAATCTCCTTAAGCTGATAAGCAACTTCAGCAAAGTCTCAGGATACAAAATCAATGTACAAAAATCACAAGCATTCTTATACACCAAGAACAGACAAACAGAGAGCCAAATCATGAGTGAACTCCCATTCACAATTGCTTCAAAGAGAATAAAATACCTAGGAATCCAACTTCCAAGGGATGTGAAGGACCTCTTCAAGGAGAACTACAAACCACTCCTCAAGGAAATAAAAGAGGATACAAACAAATGGAAGAACATTCCATGCTCATGGGTAAGAAGAATCAATATCGTGAAAATGGCCATACTGCCCAAGGTAATTTACAAATTCAATGCCATCCCCATCAAGCTACCAATGACTTTCTTCACGGAATTGGAAAAAACTACTTTAAAGTTCATATGGAACCAAAAAAGAGCCCGTGTTGCCAAGTCAATCCTAAGCCAAAAGAACAAAGCTGGAGGCATCACACTACCTGACTTCAAACTATACTACAAGGCTACAGTAACCAAAACAGCATGGTACTGGTACCAAAACAGAGATATAGATCAATGGAACAGAACAGAGCCCTCAGAAATAATGCCGCGTACCCAAAACTATCTGATCTTTGACAAACCTGAGAAAAACAAGCAATGGGGGAAGGATTCTCTATTTAATAAATGGTGCTGGGAAAACTGGCTAGCCATATGTAGAAAGCTGAAACTGGATCCCTTCCTTACATCTTATAGGAAAATCAATTCAAGATGGATTAAAGATTTAAATGTTAGACCTAAAACCATAAAAACCCTAGAAGAAAACCTAGGCATTCCCATTCAGGACATAGGCATGGGCAAGGACTTCATGTCCAAAACACCAAAAGCAATGGCAACAAAAGGCAAAATTGAGAAATGGGATCTAATTAAACTAAAGAGCTTCTGCACAGCAAAAGAAACTACCATCAGAGTGAACAGGCAACCTACAAAATGGGAGAAAATGTTTGCAACCTACTCATCTGACAAAGGGCTAATATCCAGAATCTACAATGAACTCAAACAAATTTACAAGAAAAAAACAAACAACCCCATCAAAAAGTGGGCGAAGGATATGAACAGACACTTCTCAAAAGAAGACATTTATGCAGCCAAAAAACACACGAAAAAATGCTCATCATCACTGGCCATCAGAGAAATGCAAATCAAAACCACTACGAGATACCATCTCACACCAGTTAGAATGGCAATCATTAAAAAGTCAGGAAACAACAGGTGCTGGAGAGGATGTGGAGAAATAGGAACACTTTTACACTGTTGGTGGGACTGTAAACTAGTTCAACCATTGTGGAAGTCAGTGTGACGATTCCTCAGGGATCTAGAACTGGAAATACCATTTGACCCAGCCATCCCATTACTGGGTATATACCCAAATGACTATAAATCATGCTGCTATAAAGACACATGCACACGTATGTTTATTGTGGCATTATTCACAATAGCAAAGACTTGGAACCAACCCAAATGTCCAACAATGACAGACTGGATTAAGAAAATGTGGCACATATACACCATGGAATACTATGCAGCCATAAAAAATGATGAGTTCATGTCCTTTGTAGGGACATGGATGAAATTGGAAATCACCATTCTCAGTAAACTATCGCAAGAACAAAAAACCAAACACCGCATATTCTCACTCATAGGTGGGAATTGAACAATGAGATCACATGGACACAGGAAGGGGAATATCACACTCTGGGGACTGTGGTGGGGTGGGGGGAGGGGGGAGGGATAGCATTGGGAGATATACCTAATGCTAGATGACGAGTTAGTGGGTGCAGTGCACCAGCATGTCACATGTATACATATGTGTCTAACCTGCACAATGTGCACATGTACCCTAAAACTTAAATTAAAAAAAAAGGATAAAAGGTGAGTGAAGAAAGCATTTGGGAATTATGGAACACCATCAAGTGAGGTTATGGGACACCATCAAGTAAGCTAGCATATGTATTATAATACTACCAGAAAGAAAAGAGTGAGAGAAAGGAGAAAATAGCTTATAAGCTTATTTAAAGATATAGTGACTGAAAAATTTCCAAATCTGTAGAAAGAAATGAAAATCCAAATTGATGAAGCCCAAAACCCCAAGTAGATTAAACCTAAAGGGGCCTGCATCAAGATATTATAATTAAATTGTCAAAAGTCATAGACAAAAAAAATTTTTGAAAGCACAAGAGAAAATGACTTGTTGCACACAGGGGAATCTCCAGAAGACTCTCAATAAATGGATGTCTCAGCAGAAAAAATGCATGCCAAAAAGGAGTGAGATGATATAGTTAAAGCTTAAAGAAAAAAAAGAAATCTTGTCAACCAAGATTTCTATAACCAGCAAAACTATACTTTCAAAATGAAGGAGTGATCTATACTTTCCCAAACAAACAATAAGACTGAAAGAGTTCATCACCATTAGACCTGATTTACAAGAAAAGATGAAGGTAACTCTTCAAGTTGAAGAGAAAGGATCCTAAATAGCAACATGAACACATGTAAAAGCATAAATCTCACTGGTAAAAAATACAGACAAATGAAGAATTATATAATAAATGTAATGGTGGTGTGTGAATATTTTTAACCCTAATATAAAAGTTGAAATACAAAAGTATTAAGAAAAATATAACCAAAAATGTTGGTTAATGGATACAAAATATAAATAAGTGAATTTCAATATTGGGAACATAATGTGGAGGAGGTAGAGGGAGTAAATGTATAGAGTTTTTGTGTGCAAACAAGGTTAAATTGTTACCAGCTCAAAATAGACCCATAACAATATGAACTTTTATTCAAGCCTTGTAGTAACAACAAAGAAAAAAACATAGTTGATACAAAAAAGATAAAAAGAATCAAAGTAGGTATTACAAAAATTTATCAAATATCAAATGAAGACAGCAGGAGAAGAAGAGATGAACAAAAGAACTACAAAGGAGACAGTAAGCAATTAAGAAAATGGCAAAGGTTAGTCATTACTTATCAATAATTACTTTAGCTGTAAATGTAAATGGATCAAAATAATCCATCAAAAGACACAGAGTGGCTAAATGGATAAAAACAAGATACAACTATATTCTATCTACATGAGACCCACTTTAGATTTATGGACATACTGAAAGTGAAAAAGATATCCTATACAAATAGTAACTAAAGAAAGAAATGGGCTATACATACTTAGACAAAATAGAATTTAACTCAAAAATTGATACACAAGACAAAGAAGTTCATTATATAATAAAGAAAGGGATCAAATCAAAAGGAAGATGTAATAGTTATAAACATATATGCATTTCCCCACACCTCCCCCCACCCCCGGTAGGTTAAGTTCAAATAAAATCTCAGCAGGTGAAGCTCTGATTAAATAGATTTCCCAAAGGACAGGTTTTGTTAAGAAAATGGAATACTCTGGTGTATTTCAAAATTGGTCCTTTTACCCTACCCCTGCAGGAATTGCAAGGGAAGTTTTCTTTAAAATTCACTGTGAGGACCTAGTAGAGATATCGTAAGTAAAACTCACAAAATTATGGGGACCCCTGCTATAACTAGGTCCTCCTGGAGTTTCTAACTTTCAGAGTTGTCCACACTGAGCCTCTAGAAATTTGTAGATTACAGTTTAGATTTTCCTTCCCCAGTATTGGTTCTTTTGGAGGTTTCTGCTTTGCTAAGTTACAATTCTCTGTTTCTGCTTATCTGTCTCTCCAATTTTGGGAACAGCAATTTGCCTTGTGACCTCACTTCTCTGACAGATTTAAGAAGAGTTGACTGGCAATTTGTTCAGCTTTTTACTTTTTAAGATGAAGTGATGACTTCTAAACTTTCTACATCTCATCTGGCTTGATTCTCTTTTGCTTGGAATAGTACTCTCTTGGAATAGTAATTTTTTAATATCAAGGTATTTTATTCCAATTGGGCACATTTTTTAGTCTGTCATGTTCAACTTGCAGGCTTTAAGTATAAAATCTCCATTGTGATCCACACAGGTTTGTTAAATCCCAGAGCTCCAGTAGAGTACATTTTATCAGTAAGCTCCTGGGGAAGGGCCCTGCAGTGCTAGCTGCCCAGAAGTGGCATCTCTCCTCCTCCCAGTCAGTATCTTCTCTGGGCTTGGGTACAGTGGTCAGAAAAATTATAAAGAACCCTTAATTTTGGTGGATATAAACTTGAACCATGGTGAAGTTGTCTATGCCAACTTTCTATTAGAATCAAATATTCTACTTGGTTGCAGTATGCAGTAAGTTTTTGTCTTTAACCAGTTTTTCATATGGAAAACTGAAAAAGAAAAATAAAGATCAGTTTGACTTTAGGGGAGTGTAGTGTTAATGCGATATCAAACTCTAGATTCAACTACAGGCCAGGCAGGCAGGTTATCAGTTCTAACCATGTGTACACCTGTAGGAAATAATATTTAAAATGTGTAAGTCTGAGAACATTTTGTGAACTCTTATTGCATCTTCCTACAAAGAACTGGCTATTGAGTCCTTTGAATAGTCCAAGATAGACCAAGTTTCAAGTGTAAGGAAGAAAACACAGTGATATATAAAGATAAAATTAGAAAATGAGTAGATTCAAGAGATCAGGGGTAAGTTTGATCCTTTTGATGCTGAGTATGTGACCCAATACAGGGCTTCCATCATTTTGGGGTCTTGGTTTCATATCTATGCAGTAAGAATCTGTCTTAATGATTGTTAAATCGGTTCCTGACTACATCCCATTTGTAGAGCCAGGGGTGCTAGCCACATGGAGTGATGCCAAGAATAGGAGAGAAGGGCAGCCCTGGACTAGGGAGACTGGAAACAGCATTATTAAATGGGCGAGATCAAAGTATAGTTTCAGAGGGAAGCCACAGATCAGAGCCAAAGGAGAAATATTAATTCCCAAGTCCACTATCTTAGTGTAAACTGAATAAGGAAAATAAAAATAGTAGTTAGTCACCAAGAAGATCAGGGAGAAGTTGGAAAGCAGGTTGTAAAAATGAAGTATTGGTTCAAGACATACATAAGCCATGTAGGTGAACACGGTGACAAGGGCCTGTGACTGCTGGAAACATGGCAGCTACATCAAGAGGGTAGGGCAGAGTTGGCTCTGACTAGGTTTCTTCAAGGAACTGATCCAGAAACTCCATAACTCTAAGTGCATGGTAAGGCTTAATGAAAGTAATTTCAGGATAATACATAATCTTCTAAGTGATCTAGCTATATTCCTCACCATTATCATGGTTCATCATCACCACAGATGTTCTTTCATTGACTTTATACCACATCCAAACCACTGGGCTGAGATTCGTGTCACCTTCTCTCTTGTGCACTTTCTGCCACTCTTGTTATCCCCACACCTCACAAATTAAATAGTTTTAAAGTTTTATTTTTCAGGTTTTCTTTTTAGGAATAGTTTTATTAACTGGATTTCTGTTGGTAGCCTGTGGATTTTATTAATTTAGGGATAAAGTTTTTTCACTGTGTAAAAAGCACCTGGTAAAGTTGGAATTAGTGGGCTTTTTTCCCTTTTATTTAAAATTTTACAGAATTGCCGTTAGGTAAAAACTGACCAAGTTGTTTTGCTGCAAAGGTAAATTTGGTTTATGATTGAAAAATTAGAACAGTTACTCAAACAGCGGGCTAGTAGCTACTGGAAATGTAAATACCATTACCAAAGGGTTCTTTCTTTTCTGTTCCTCTACCTGGTAGCTCATTTTAAACAGGTTCTTTTAAAAGTCATGCAAGGATAATTACTTTTACTTTCTCCTTGGTTTTTATGGACAAAATAAGTGAGGCTGACACATTCAGGCAAACACACACAATTTGAGGTCACTAAAAATATATTATGTTAATACTACCTTTTTTTAGCTTGAGTTTAAGGCCTATAGTAATAAGAGAGATTGGTATAAACACTAGGGAGTCAGCCCTTCATATCCACAGGTTCTGCATTCATTGGTTCAACCAATCACAGATGAAAAATAATAAAAAATAAAAAATAAAAAATAACCACACAAATAAAAAATGTATAGCATAGCAGCTATTACATTGCATTATCATTGTATTAGGTATTTTAAGCAATCTAGAGATTATTTAAAGTATACAAGAAGATGTGTGTAGGTTATAAGTGTTTATATTTATAGGGATTATATAAAGAACTTAAGCATCCATGAATTTTGATATTTTGGGGAATCCTGCATCAATCCCCTGGGGATACTAACTATATTGGAAGTTCTCTGTAGACTTAAATTTAATTATCCCTATTCCTGTTATCTAATTCTATAATTGTTACATCATTTATTTTGCTACAAAATCCACAATTTGTATAGGGCTCAGTAGAAATAGTTAATCTTTGCTCCTATTGTTGTCACTGGGCTGGCTCTTAGGGTGGAGAACTGAGACATCTCATGGCTCTCTGACCACACATCTGGTGGCTGATTTTGGCTGTTGACTGGGAGTCTCAGTTTCTATCCACATGGGCCTTTCCATGTGTTATCTTTGTTTTTGTTTTGTACAGGTGGGGTCTCACCATGCCCAAGCTGGTCTTGAACTTCTGGCCTCAAGCTGTCCTCCTGCCTCTGCCTCCCAAAGCACTGGTATTACAGGCGTAAGCCACCATGCCCAGCCCATGTGTATCTATGTGTGAGCAAATTTGTGCTGCCTTTAGATTCATTGGCTTGTTTGAAGATTGAGCATCCAAAGTGAGAGAAAGCCAAGACAGAAGCAACATTGCCTTTTGCACCTTGATGTTAGAAGTCATGGAACATTACGTCTGTCACATGCTTGATCAAGGCAGTTACAAAGGTCCACCCAGGTTTAAGGGGAGGGAATATGAACTTTGCTTCTCAGTAAAGGAGTGTCAATGCCACATTATATAGACTATATGACTGCATATATATATATACACACATACACATATAGGCCTCTATATTTGAAATATATAATATATTTCAATTATATATTTATATATAGTTATATATAGTTATATATATAGTTATATATAGTTATACATATATAGTTATATATAGTTATATATAGTTATATATGGTTATATATATAGTTATATATATATACACATATATATATACATATATATATATACATATATATATATATATATATATATATATATATATATATGACTATAATTGAAATATTCAGTCTTCCACTGACTCAGGTGGAAAGTTCCTCTGTGGCTAAACTTACAAGGACACTGATTTGCAACTATTATAATGCACATCAAAACATGGAGACAATTACCCTCTTAGTTGCTTACTGCTAATCATTCAGTTCCTTGCCTTCAGGAATCAAATGGATTTTAAGAGAGGATGATGCATTCACTTTCCTTTTCCCATCCTAGAATGGCTGGTTTGCTCACAGGAGGAAATACTGCCTCTGTCCCACCAGGCCTTCCCCAACCCCATGCTTTTTCTCTCCATCGGCAAGGTTAATGCCCAGACAAAAGACGAGTGCCATGATATAGCAACCCGGTTGTACCCTAAGCTATGTCTCTGGTGTTCATACCTCCATAAGTGGAGAAGAGCATCTCAGCTCAAGAAGAAATCTCTCTTGAATTTAACAAAGCAAAAGAAATATTTATTCCAAATGGTAGTTTAAACAACATTGTATTTTTTTACCAATTTTATTCTTTTAGGTTTCTGAGCCAGCTGGTAAACTAAGATACCGAGAGGTTCTGTGGTTCACACAAACTTTCAAGGCAGCTTAATTTAAAACAGCATTGTTTCTTCAAAGTAGTTCAAACTACCATCTTTTCAGTTTTGTCATTTAGCTTGGTCACTGGTTTTTTCATTTGAAGCTTCCTATAAAAGTGAATTTTGGAATCAAGATACCATTTTATTTTCTTAAAACAAATGAGAAATATTTGCTGAGTCTAGCAGTCTGAATCCAACTCTGTTTCTGAGACCTATACCCAATTTCCCAATCACTCTGTTCAACTGTGCTGTTAAGTTCAAAACCAACTGGAATGCCAGGGAATTTTAATTCACTTCAGACAAATGGGACTTCCTGTTTTTGAGAAAATAAGGCTACAAATAAGATCCAATGGTTCTTACAAGATAACACGTTTGAAAAGTTAATTATAAATTAAACAGAAACACATGTGTTCAACTTTCTATGCCCCCTAAATACCTTAAGATAAATAAGTGCTTAGAAATTAAGGAGTGGGAGTGGGGAAGAACTTGTTGCTGGATGCACTTAGAAGGGACAAGACAAAAATTCTTCACAGAAGACTGATGTACAATTGTTCTAAGCACAAATGGGAATCCCCTTTTCTAACTCCATTTTTCCTACCACCAAATACTTATTGAAAGGAAAAATGCCATTGCACTTGCTCTCCCCTTACAGACTCCAGACCCTGGAAGCCTCTACCTTTTAAAGTATGGGGTCTGTTCAACATCAAGAGACATCCAAGAATTCTGACTTTTCCCCCATTAGATGCCAATTTTCAATGAAGATATGAATGAACTAGCAAGAAACTTATCCCTTCTCCAGAGCAGAGATGAACTGTATGAACTAAAGGGTGTATCAAATTTATGTGATGACATCATGGGATGGGCACCCAGTCATCATGATTCTGCCACTGGAGGCCTTCTGGTGTATCCCAAGTGAATGGGATAGACTGTATGCTAAAAGCTCCCATGCTATTTACCACATCATTTGGACACAGCAGTAAAGAATAATGCATAGGAACTTGATGTTCTTAACATGAACAGCAGCTATTTAGTTTATGCAATTCAGTTAAATTGAAACAGATATGTAGTCATTTTCCCTGTCTGGTTCTATAAATTATTTCATTTACATATTTTTTGCAGACATATGAAAACTATGGTTAAATGAACATACTTTTTTCTAATTAAATATTTCATACTAGGTCCAGGTATAAATTAGGAATAGTATTTGGTTACTAGTAAAATAGACCAATCTAAAGTAACTTAAATAATATAGAAGTTACTGTTTCCCTTCTGTAAAATGAGTCCAGGAATGGGAAGTCCAACCTGGTAAGCTTAGTTTCATTTAAGAACCAGGCTCCACTTCTCTCTCTATGATCCAAGAAGCTTGGTTACCTATCACTCATTAGTTTTAGTGATTTTCTCAAGGGCAAGAATTATTTCTTATTTACTCTTCTAGCCACAGCATCTAGCACATATTGACAGTAGACAGTATTTGTTGAATGAATAAGTGGATAAATGAAAGAATGAATAAAAAATAAATGAAGGAATCTAGTGAGAGTATAATTATTGCACAATATAGCAACACATTTATTGATTAGTACCTCATGAGTAGAGGTATGTATTATATACATCAGAGAAAAATCTCAGGAAGAAGTGATATTTAAACTGTATCTTGAAAGATGGACAGGAGTTGAGCAGGAAATGAAGTTATATATTTATGCTAGGAACATAGCACTTGGAGTCAAAAGACTAGCCTATAGTCCCAACTCAACCGTTTACCAGTTGTGTAATTTTTGACAAAGTGGAGAAAATTCTCTGAGCCTATATTCTCATCTATAAAATGGAGATAATAATTAACTGCCCTGTAGATTCTTGCAAGTTTTCTCTATTGTTTCAGTTCTTCTCTTAAATGTTTTCCATCTCATTTGATTCCATGTTTCTCATAAGCTGTTGTTTATAAGTGTGTACATTCTTGGGAATTTGTTATTAAAATTTTTCATTTTCTTATCATGAAATAGATGAAACATTTCTTTCTTCCTAAGGTAATATTTAGCACCTATTAAATACTTTATTTTTTCACTTGTTCATTCAATCTATTTATTTATTTCCAGGCAATATTCTAGTCCCTGAGGATTCCATAGTGAACAAGACAGGTATTGGGAACCTGTTTCTTACATTCTGGTTAATGAGACAGACAATAAAAAAGGAAATATAACCTGAGAGAAATTTTCTGAAGGTCATAAGAGACAGAGGACAGACATTTTGGTTTGGGGTATTATGGAAAACCTGTCTGAGGAGTTAATATTTGAGCTGAGATGTGAAGAAGCCATGACCCAGCCATACAAAAAGCTGGGGAATAAATATTCTCCAGGCAGAGGGAATAGCAGCTGAAGTGACTGAAAGCTTGAAGAATTTGAGAAACAGAAGAAGGACATACAGTTAAGATAATGCTAGTTCTTATAATAAACTCTAATATCTCTGTGACTTAACAGAGTAAAAATGTATTCTTTATTTACTTTAAGTATAATTGATGACTGAGGGTTTTTTCTTTTTTACATTGTGTATATTTAAGGTATGCAACATGATGTTTTGATATGTTTATCTTGATATGCATATACATAGTAAAGGGACTACTACGGTCAAGCAAATTACTGTAACTATCACCTTATATAGTTACCTTTCATTGTGTGTGTGTGTGTGTGTGTGTGTGTGTGTGTGATAAGAGGAAGGTATAGACTTATGGTTATGAAGAATGAATAAATATAGAGATTTAATGTACAGCATGAGGACTATAGTAAACAACATTGTAATATATACTGGTAATTTGCCAAGAGAGTAGATGGCTAAGGTTTTCATCAGCATCAGCATCCAGCTAACAGACAAAGAAAAAACTGTGCATGGAGGGCCTTTATGGTTTAGGCCTAGAGGTAGTGCCTGCCTCTTCTATTCTCATTTCACTGGCAGGTGTGGTCAGTGGCTACACCTAACAGCAAGAGGTAAAGAAAAACATCATCTTGGGATTTCAGCCTAACTGAGCATTCAGAGAACCAGTTTGTTGAGACACTAGCCAACCTCTGACATGAGAGGTCAGTGTGACTAGACTTTAATCAGTGAGGGAGTAAGAAAGTGGTGAGGAAGGGTAAGTAAGGTAAAGGAGAAGGTGGAGGAGAAATAGAAGAAAAAAAGAGGAAGGAGGGAGGGAAGGAGAGAGAGAGAGAATAGAATAATTGTAGAAGTATGCAGTAGAAAAATCAGGCAAGGCCTTTTAGCCTGTTGTAAGCATGAAAACAATGTAGTTAGCTTTACCTTTTTAAAATACCTCTCTGCTGTGGAGTGAACTTGACAGGGGCAAGAGTGGAAGCTTAAATGATTACTAGGAAAGCTGACCTCAAAGATAACTGCAGTTTGCTGAAGGATATTGACAGAGGAGGAGGAGAGGAGTGATTGGATTTGAGATCTATTTTGGAGGTAAAACCAACAAGCATATAAATGATCAATAACCATTTTGTGAATAAATGAATTAATTAATGAATAAACAATAATGCCAAACATTTATCAAACACATCCTGCATCAGACTCTGTGGTAGGAGCTTTTACATGGATTAGACCATTTAATCCTTACAACAATCTTATAAAGTGGGTACTGTTATTGTCTCTACTTTTCAGATGAGGAAATTGAGGTTCGGAAGGTTAAAATCACTTGTTTGTGGTTATATAAATAATTTGGGACTGGAATTTTTTTCTAAGGCTGTATAGTATTTCACTGTGTATAGACACCATATTTTATTTATCTGTTCATTCATTGATGGACACTTAGGATTCCATATTACGGCTATTGTGCATAATGCTGAAATGAACATGGGAGTGAAGATATCTCTTTGAATTACTGATTTCAATTCCTCTAGATATACACCCAGATGTAGAATTGCTGGATTATATGGTAATTCTATTTTTAGTTTTTCACGAAACATCTGTACTGTTTTCCAAAATGGCTGCATTAATTTACATCCCCAGCAACAGGCAGTCCTGTCATTTGTGACAACATGGATGAACCCGGAGGTCGTTATGCTAAGAGAAATAAGTCAGGCACAGAAAGACAAATATTGTATGATCTGACTTACATGTGAAATCTGAAAAAGTCAAACTCATACAAGCAGAAAGTAGAATGGTGGTTATCAGAGGTTGGGGTAGGGGGATGAGAAAAGGGGAGAGATCGACGAAGGGTACAAAGTTTCAGTTACGTAGGAGGAATAAATTTTAGTCATCTAGTGCACAGCTTGGTGGCCATAGTTAATAATAATGTAAATTTTTAAATTGCTATAGGAGTGTATTTTAAACATTCTCACTATAAATAAATGACAAGTAGGTGTGAACCTAAAAGTATCTGAGACAGGTCTTAGTCAATTTATAAAGCTTTTTTGCCAAGATTAAGGATACACCTGTGACATGGCCTCAGGAGGTCCTGAGGACATGTACCCAAGGTGGTCATGGTACAGCTGGTTTTATACATTTCAGGAAGACATAAAATTTCAATCAATACATGTAAGATTTACATTGGTTCAATCCAGAAGGGCAGGAGAACTTGAATGGGAAACTTCCAGATCATAGAGTAGATTAAACATTTTCTGATTAGCAGTTGGTTGAAAGAGTCATTATTCATAAAAGGGAATATCTGGGTTATGATAAGGGGTTATGGAGACCAAGGTTTTATCATGTAAATGAAGCCTCCAAGTAACAGGCTTCAGAGAAAATTCAGAGAAAACAGATGTAAATGCTTCTTATCAGACTTAAGGTCTGTGTTGACATTAACACTGGAGTGGTATGACAAGGCATGTCCAACCCCTTCTCCCATCATGGCCTGAACTAGTTTTTCAGGTTAACTCTGGAATGCCCTTGGCTGAGAGGAAGGTCCATTCAGATGGCTGGGGGGTCTTAGACTTATTTTTGGTTTACATAGATGAGGTGATAAATATATTAATTAGTTTTATTTAATCTTTCTACAATGTATACATTCATGAGAACACCACATTGTACCCCATAAATATATACAATTTTTATTTGTCAATTAAAATTTTATTAAAAATAAATAATAATTTGATGATAAGCCAGGACTAGAATATAGGAATTCTGATTTCAGGAGCTCATACTCTACTGGCCCTAAACAAGCCACAGTTCTCTCTCCTAAAGGTAAAAAGCCTATTAATGATCATCTTCAAATGACTCCAAACTCCCAGGCTACCCTTCCCCCTAGCCCCAGCCACACAGAAAATTCCCAAGACACATAGTCAAATACTACAGGTAAATGCAAAGATATTGGAGGTATTTATTGTCCCCATTTTTTGGGAGAGTTCACATCTTGTTTCTGAAATCCCTGCCTTTGGTAACTATTGTTAAAGCCAGTTGTAATGTACTTATAAGATCAATTGCTCAGAGGAGAGTCTGTTCTGAATTAGAAAATTGTTGCTGCTAAGGAGCCCCCGGGGGATGGGGAATTGGGGGAGGGGAGGGCTGCACACAGGTTCAGCATGGCAGGCCCCTGTGCTGATAATGAATGGGGGAAACGTGGCCAGTAAGACCCACAGAAAGAAAAACACTTAAACCTCTTGATGAAAGGCCATATGAGAAGGTAAGTGTTATAATTCAACTGAAAATAAAAGCCCGTGGCAGGTTATCCTTCCTTCCAGGCAGACAGTCTGTGGGATTGCTTTCCTGCAGCTACAGTGGCAGTGATGGATTATCTGGGAAGGTGAAGCAGCTGAGCTGATCTACCCCCTCCTCTTCCACTCCCAAATTCCCCTCAGGCTACAGGGTTTCAGGGCAGCTTTAATCCCTCTTAGCCTTCACTCTCCCACGGATTCCAAGACAAGTCCCAGGAGTTACTTAGGCCTGGATAGCATCCTCCCAAGCTGTTTCCTGAAACCCAAGTCCGAAAGACAGGAGTTGGTCCTCAGGTGCTTGCCAGAAGCCTCCCATTCATTACCCTGCTAGGAAGGATTGTTTCAGGAGTCTGGACCTAAGAAGGAGTGTTTTGATCTGGCCTTGGTTGTTCAAGAGTGGCCCATTCAAGGAGTGTCTGGAGTGAGCTGTTCATTGCATGTGGCTCTCAGCCAGTCTTATAGGAGGATGTAATGTCAAGGATTGATTGGGGTGGACATGGAGGAGTGAGTCTTCAGTCCTAGTCTCTTTTTGCTTCTGCTCTTTAATGAAGGCTTTGCTTGATGCTCTTCCTGCCCCATCCTGGTTCCCATCATGATCAGCTTGAGTCGCCAGCTCTTTCAAAGCCATTTTATTTCTATTAGACACTCTTTGGATCCCTACAAACCTTCCAAGAGCTATAGATATGCGCCTAGTTTGGGAATTCTAGGGCTTTTGGCGAAATATTTTTGGATAAGGAGGTCATCCTGGAGTCTCTCCAGTCACTATAGATGGGTAGCTATTATGCTTCCTGTTCAAAGACTGGCCAGAATCTCTATACTTAAAGCAAACAGAGATAGTCAGAACTACAAATACAATTTATTTTTCTCTTCCTATTCCTTGCTTTTCCCCTCTGAGAATCTTGCATTGAATACTGGATGCAATAAGTGGACCCATAGAAAGAGTGGGGAAAAGGCAGAAGGCTCTTGCCCCAAGGACCACTCTACAAGGGAGATCTGAGTTGTGGATGGTGAACCTGTGTCAAGAGAAGATAATTCTCCACCAAGACCACTCCATCTTTTAGTCCCATTTATATTTATTTTGCAGGAAATTCCTTTTTTCCTATTCCATGAAAATGTACCCTTTTCTATCATATCGATTTTATACTACTTGGAATAAGAAATCCTACCCACACAATTGTCACTGTTATGCACTCTAAATGTTAATATTAAAGAAACATATGGGTAGGATAAAATGGTATGGATTTTAGAATGGGACAAACCCGGGTTCAAACTATACCACTTAGAACTGGGGCATTAAACATTTATATATTTTTTCAGTTATAAAATGTAGGTAACCCCTAATAAACTGTGGCAAGGATTAAATGAGATACGTGAATCCCCTGATAATCATAAAATATCAGTGCCCTTTTTTGTTGAAGCCAACTTGAGTTAAACCAAAAAGAGAGTTGAAATCCTTCTTTCTTCAATAATTCCCTATAGTGTAATTCCTAAGAAGCAAAAATAGAGATGGTTGTTTTTCTTCCTAGCTACAATAGCAATATGATCTCTCGTGTGTACATAGTATGTCATGCTTTCCAAAGAACATTCACATTCACTTTGTATCACATTTAGTGTTCAGAACTATCCCATAAATACATTCTGCTTCAGCTTTAGATCAATAGCAGGATAACTGTGATTTAATAACAAAGAAACACAGGTCTTGGGACTAGCAGCTTAGAATTGAGGAGGGGAGCAAGGAAGATAGGGGAAAAAGAGAGAGAGAGAACATATTCTATTACTGATCACCAAGATCTTGTATTCTAGTTGGGACACAAGGTGAACATGTGCAAGAGCCAAGAAAAAATGCTTGCCAGCATGTGATTAAAAGAAGAATAAGCGAAACTCACAAATGTCCCACTTCTTTTCAGAAGGGTGAGAGCAGCATGAACTGAAATAGCACAGAATGTCCTGTGGCACATAAGCTTGGCCTCACAAAAAGGGTAAGCTGAATACCCAGGGAGGGTGAGCAAGTATAATGTGCTTGCAGCAACAGCCAAAGCCATAGATCCTCAACCCTGCCTGCACATTAAAATCATCTGGGGAGATCTTTTTCAACTTTGATGCCTGGTTCCTACCCCCAGAAATTCTCCTTTAACTGAGCTCAGGTTGGAGCCAGACATCAGAACTTTTAAAGTTTCTCTTAGTGATTCCAATATGAATCTAGGTATTACATTGTACTATATTGTAAATTTAACCACTTCCACAGAATGAAGTATGTAAATCTCTCATAATAAAAGAAAAGCATATTTGTGAGAGTTAGTTTAGGAGGTCAGGTTTTATTTCTTGGGTTTTCTGTAAGTCTTCCTGAACAAAGGTTTGTGATATTTATTATAAATTATGTATCTTGAAAAGGTGTCATCTACTCCCAATTTCATTAATTCCTGCTACATCATGTTCTTGTTATGTAAAAATATTGGGATGAAGGTACATTTTGACACCAACCAGGTGTTTGGTTTTAGTGTAGGGTCTAGGCTTCAGTTTCTTCATCGATGTATTATATGGAGGAGATGAACTAATTCAGAATTCTTCAAATTGGGCTCCACAGAGAATTCCATGGAAGGGCCCTGTGGTTTGACTTGAGGAACAAGGATAACATGTCAGCTTCTACCAGAGAAGCTCTATTTCTGTCTATTTTATACATCTGGCCTCTAAGAAAATTCATCTTAAAAAGGAATGAGGCTGGATGTCAGCAAAATGGCAGAGCAGGCAACTCCAAATATTTGTTGCACAAGAGCACTATTCACAATAGCCAAAAAGTGGAAATAGCCCAAGTATCCATCAATAGATGAAAGCATAAACAAATTGTGGTGTATACATGCAGTAGATTATTCAGCCATAAAAAGAAATGAACTGATACATGGTACAATGTAGATGAATGTCCAAAACATGCAAAGGGACAGAAGCCAGACACAAAAGACCACATGTTGCATGATTCTATTGTGTGACTGTCTTAGTCTAATTTTTGCTAAAATAATACCTGAAACTGGGTAATCATAAAGAAAAGAGGTTTTTTTAAGCCCACAGTTACAGGCTGAGAAGCTTAAGTCATGGTTCTGCTTCTGGCAAGAGCTTTTGTGTTGCTCCACAACATGGCAGAGAGGGTCAAAGGGGAAGCAGACACATGAAAAGAGGGGAAACCTGGGGACATCCTTGCTTATAAAAACCCCTCCTGTTGGGAACTAATCCATGAGTCTTGCAAAAGTTGAGAACTCAGTACTGCGAGAACAGCACCAAGCCATCATAAGGGGTCTGGCACCATAACAGACACCTCCCACTAGGCCCCTCGTGAATATATGACAATAATTCTGGCTGCAGAGGAGTCCCAACACTGTCATTCTGGCAATCAGATTTCAACATGAGCTTTGGTGTGATCAAACAAACCATATCCAAACCATAGCAGTGATACCTAGGAGAGAGAAATCCATAGGGACCAAACACAGGTTGGTGACTGATAGAGGTTAGGAGATCAGAGAATAGGAAGAAACTGCTGAATGAGTACAGAGTTTTACTCCGGAGCAGTGGAAATGTTTTGGAAGTAGGTAGAAATGGTGGTTACACAACATTGTAAATGTACTAAATGCCACTGAATTGCTCAAATTAAAATGGTTAATTTTGCCTGATTAGGTTTTTTTTTAATGGAATGAGAACTGTTGGGCTAGATGATCATTGAGGGCCATTTCAGCTCTAAAATTGTGTATATATGATTCCATGAAATAAATATATTTTTAAAGTGTAATAAATTCCAAGGGAAACATAAAGAAGGTGCTCTGAGTGTTCAAATGAAGAGTTGTGGACATAAAGGAAAGCTTCATGAAGAAGGAGGCATTTGCAGCAGGTTCTGAAGGACAGGAAAAGTTCTCCATGGAGATAGCAGGAGAGCTTCCTGCAACGATATGGAGACAAGAACTTGTGGAGGAGCTGTTGGCAGGAGAATTAGGTCCATGCAGGGGATGGGGATCCAAGGCTGAAAATGTGGGTCAGCAATATACCAAGGAAGAACTTTAATAACAGGGTATAAATTTTCAAACTTTATTTGGATTCAAAGAAATGGTCTGTAAAGGTTTTGGAGTAAACAAGCTATATAATTGGAATTCTACGTTTCTGTGGTGGTATCAGAGCATAAGATGAAAGCCGTAGAGAGGGCACACAGCAGTGTGTTTAAGGGTAAGGATTCTGAAGCCACATCGCCTGAATGTGAATCCCAGCTCTGCCATACTCAAGTCCAGTGAACTTGGGCAGGTTACTTAACTTCTTCTTACCTCAGTTTCATCATCTGTAAAATAAAAACAATACTCACCTCATAGAATTGTTGTGAGGATTAAATAAATTAATACAAGTAAAGTGCTTAGAATAACACATAAAGCAGAATAAATGCTTAATACATGTTAGCTGCTATTTACTGAAGAATAAAGAAATGTGTGTTTGGAAAATAATGGACATAGTGGCAAGAATCAGACCTGCTGGGTTACTATTCTATGTTGTGAGTGAAGAAATACTTTGTGTGAAGTCAGTGGTACATTGAACTTAGGAGAATGCATTTTTAAACAGAATGTTTAAGCAACAGTAAATGTTGGACAAATAAGCTTTGGAAATTTATTGGGGCATGAGTAAGAGAACACTAACTGGAAATAGATAAGAGAAGAATATTATCAGGATGATGGTCTTTGAAAGAGAGAAGAATATTATTAGGATGATGACCTTTAAAGGTGTCCTCAGGTGACCTGGGGAACTTTCACATGCCCAAATTTCTCACGAGTATATGGCAATAACTCTGGCTGCAGAGAAGTCATTACTTCGAAATGGGTACCTCAGTACAAAAATTTAGAGGAAAACCACATGGGGTGAAGCAAGGTCTGGAAAGAAGCTGTTGCATTGGTTGGGAAACCTATTTATATCAGCAAGACTGACTTAGTGTTTGAACTGAAAGGAGCTGAGCTGATGTTGAGGTCAACTTCCGAATTCAGAGAGGAGGCAACACCTGAGGTCACATCATGGGAGGCACCAGCTGCTGATATTGACTGCTTAAGGTTCTTCAGTAAATTCACCCCCCAAGCAAGAATTCAAGCTCTTTGCATCAGTCGACAAATCTATTGTACACCTTTTATGTGCCAAGTGATGTAGTTTCCAGGTATGCAGTGAGTAAAAAAGAAAAAAAAAGACAAACAATCCCTGACTTTGTGGACCTTACAGTCTAGGAGAGGAGAAAGAATTAGTGCTGTCATGTTTCAGAGGCACTTCAAGTCAAGGTGTACAAAACTGAATTCCAAAAGCTATATAATTGAAATCATACATCCCTCTCAGCTTATTGTAGTTTTTCTGTTGTATTAAATTCTATAAACCTAAGATTCATCATTAACAACTTTTTCTCATTACCTCCACATCTAATGCATCATAAAAGTCTTGTCCATTTTGCCTCTTAAATATATTTTAAATCCATTCACTTTTTTTTCGTCTCTGTAGTCCCAGCCTGGTTTTAGTCACTGTCTTCTGGGGCATAGCAACAGCCTACTTACTGATATTCCACATCTGCTCTGTTCTCTCTCCAATCCACTCATGACTTAGAGGAATGCACAAGATAAAGTGCAAAGTCCTCCATTTTGCATACAGGTCCTTTCATCATCTGCTAACTGCCTACGTCTCCAACCTCATCATTTTCCTGCCACACTGGCCTCTTCATTTCCTCAAACTTGACATGTGCTCTGCTGCCACAGGTATTATCTATGCTGTCCTAATCTGACCCACTCATCTCTTAGTCAACTCCAGTTCATTCTCAGGATCTCGGCTCAAGTATCACTTCCTTGGAGAAATCCTCCCTCACTCATTGGCCAGATCAGACCTCCCTGTTAAGGATTTTTGTTAGCATTGTGCTAACCAATAAGCAATCATTTTCTTAAACTTATTCACGCATAAGTACTCAACAATAAAAAATATGGCATAACATTAATACAGTGAAAAAATAATATTTTCAGGGTAACTAAATAGCACAGTAGCATCATCAGAATACCTGTATCTGATGTTAAACAGCGGCAGCAACAAACAAGAGCAGGCTTTCAGTCTCCACCTACAATGCTGTGTTTTAATGAAAAGGTTAACTGTATACTGTTTTATTTTTTGAGGTAAGAAGAAACATCAAAAGCAGTTGAGGGACCAGAAAATGGGTTCTCTAGGGGTGAAGAGGCATCCTGCAGGATGGCTTTTTGAAATGTTTCCTCATGTGCCTCATTAACAACAATTTTTGTCTCAGAAGTCTCTCTTTGGTTTTAGAAACTGACATGATTTCTTGTTTTGTTATGAATGTGTGCTCTGGTCCTTCAATGAACCCATCACACATTTCATCATGCCATTTACAAACACTTTTTCTGCAGTGTTAACAATGTCATCTTTATTGCCACTATTATCATGATCACCTTGATTCAGAACTGATTGGCTATTTCACCATGGGTCAATGAACAACTGGAACATCATTATCAACTTACTGATGTTAAAAACTTCTTAATATTCTCTTCCAGCTTATTGATGGCCTTGAAAAGTCTGCTTTTTGCATATGTAATGGTGTCTGACATCATTGTTTTTCTCACTTGAGATATGGAATCCTTCAAAGTCGCCATTTTGTTCATCATTATCACTAAACATAACTGCAGGCCAGAAGTTGTAGGAGGCATGCACAATTTGTCTATAATCACTGTGTTCCATGTGTTGGCAATAGCATATATGGTATCCTTAATGCTAAACTTTTGAAAACCTTCCACACCCATGCCTCTGTTTATTGCTGCGAGCATGCTATTTAAGAAAGCCGAATAAACTGTGTATTGCAGGCCTGTGTTCTGACTGTGACCCATCACATGAGGTCAGGTGTGGAATTGTCCATGTGCGGCATCATGGCAGCACTCAAAGTTTCAGATTTTGAAGCATTTCCAATTTCTGATTGTTTCATTAGGGATGCTCAACCTGTACAAGTTTTAAACGAGCATTTTAAAATAGCAGCGAGCGACTTAGTCCATTTTCTATCGCTATAACGGAATAGCTGAAACTGGATCACATTTAAAGATAGGAAATTTCTTATAGTTCCGGAAGCTGGGAAGTCCAGGCTCCAGAGATTGTATCTGGTGGGGGCCTTCTTATTGTGTCAAGACATGGTGGAAAGCATCACATGGTGATGTACAGAAACTTTGCCAGTGTGTTTTTCTCTTCTTATAAAGTCTTCAGTCCCATCATGGGGGCCCCATCCTGATGACCTTGTCAAATTCTAATTATCTCCCAATGGCTTACCTTCAAATTTCATCAACATATCAATCTGGGGGATTACGTTTCCAACACATAAGATTTGGGGGACACATTCAAACCAGAGTGTAAGAATTTTCATATTTTCCTTCACTTAATAATTGCAATTATGTTTTTCCCACATTTTCAGGTAGAAATAAAGTCCTGCCCCAAATTGCAGGATTCAAAATGGCTGAGCCAGCGTTCAAACCCAGACGGGTCTGATTGCAAGGCCCAGACTTCTCATCATAAAACCCTCTAGGTCCTTTCCTCCACCATATGGAAAACTCACGTGCATCTGGACAGCCTCTCCCAAAAATAGCTCGGAGCCCAGGCCCTAACACTGACGTGACATTAGCATTTTTCTTTTCATTCATCCCCAGATCTCCTTTCAGCTTGGCTTATTCTGACACCATATTTCCTATAGCATAGGAAATGCTGTGGAATATGGAAGCTTTCAGATGTGGACTTGATTGAAATAGGTGAAGTTTGTTTTCTTTTATGTTCTATTTCTCATGCCTTCATAAGCTAGTGGATCCAGATGGTTGGAATCGCCAATTAAAAACAAAGAGAACATTAGGAAACTGTAAGAGAGAGAGAGAGAGAGAGAGAGAGAGAGATACCAAGTGGCAATTAGGGATGAGACAGCTAAAATAGCTTCATGATGGTAAAGATTCTTTCATTCAAGAAGAATGTGTGTGCAAATTATTTTTTTCCTTCTGGATTAATTTAGCATTAATAAATTGCCACCAGAAATCTTTATTTCTCTAAGAAAATGTATTCTGGTTGTTTCCACAGTAATCAATGCGTGTCATTTAAATTATAAACTGGCTTATGTAAAAAGGTTGAAAAAGCCAAGGCAGAGACTTCCCCTGGCCTTCTGAGCTTCTAAACCTATTGCCAGGCATCGTGGGTGGCTAGTCCCAAGGCTGCTGCTTAGAAGACAGACATTTTCAATGTCTGCCAGCCTCACCCTAAAGCAATGGAGAAAGGAAGACTTCGCACCTTCGAAACATTTTGATTGCTCAGTTTCTTATATGGTAAGCGTACATCAGTTATAAACCTCTCAACTGCTGGTTAAAAACAGAAGTGAGAGAAGCAGAGAGGACGAAGAGGGGATGGAGAGAAAGAGAGAGATTGAGGGAGGGAAAGAGAGAGGAGACAAACAAAAAGAGAAGGAGGAATAAGGAGACAGGAGAAAGAAGATGAAAAGGGGTAGAGTGGGGAGGAAGGAGAGGGAGAAAGAGGAGAAAAGGCCTTAACCTGAAAAAACTAGGAAAAAGAAGTATATGCCACTTCAGAAAGAAATGCAGTTCTATTACTCTCAGATACCTGAACTATTGCGAATTAGGTTAAATAATTACTTTCATGAACTAGAGTTACTAATAGCAAATTTAGGGACAGCTCTAAAATGATTTGTAATTAGCTTTTTATTTGCTTATATCTAATAGAGAACTTTGAACATGTCTGAAAGCAGGTTTAGTCAAGTTTGTAAAATCCATTTGTTTGGGAATTTTTTTGGTTTTTCTTCCATAGATGAACTTAGATAAACTTCAGCTAAACCACTTTCCAATTATCACAAATTCCAACTAATAAAATCCAAATGATTGAGGTCTGGCTGTGTTCTTCATTCTCAAAACAAACTCAGTTCCCCCCTGTGGTTTTGTATTAAATGAAGCTGAAACACAATGTCGAAGAGTGATAGAAAATGAATGTAATCTGTTTTTCCTTTAATCTTGTTCTACATCCAATCATGTGCACCTGCCCTCCATGTCGCTTCGCTGGGATCTGGCTGCCAGGTGTCACTTCAGATACTGAGAACTAAATTGCCCACTGTCTCTCCATCAGAGGGTTGGATCCTTGACAGCAAGGATGCTGTCTATCTTTGTCATGCCAGGCCTGGGACGTCTCAGGGCATGATTTCTATTCATTGATAAACGTAGTTGACCTATCTCTCTCCTAGATTGGCTTTTCCCATGGCTGCATATAATAGGCAGCGCCCCCTATTTACATCTAGATTCCTCTAGGTTGCCATCCTTGAACTGATTCTGGCATTAATGGTAACTTAGGACTATAGCTATAGTAAAGGTCTCATCATCTGAGCTGGCTTGTGTCCTGGACACCACTACTGACCATACCTGTCCTGGTCTCGGCTCCACTTCATGATACTGCTTTCACAGCTGTATATCCATCTAAGGTGTTCCTGCTAAGTTCTTGATGATTACTCATGAGACCTGCTTCAGCTGAGCTGTCAGAGAAGGGGCCAATACTAGATGTAACTTGATGTCATGTAAATAGACAAAACTACACATCTAATGTAAACTTCTGGCTCTAAAACCTTGTGCACTAAGAATCACCTGGAGATTAAATTACTTGGCTTCACCTTCAGATAATCTGATTCACTAAGCCTTAGTGGGTAATGGGGTGGAGTGCCTGAGAATTTGCATTTAATGAGCTAAATGATGCTGATCAAGTGGTCCTAGACCACCTTTCAGAACCCAGACTTAACTTTTAGAGTCTTAGCCTCATTCTTTTCACTACCAGTGTCTGTACATTTTTAATTTTTTGCAGACTGTCTACTTAATCTAGTTCCAGCATAAATTCCTGGGTTTCATTTTATTTAGCATGTCATATGACTTAAAATTAGGCCTGGCTAAAATGACTGAGGCTGGGGGTAAGAGAAAGCAATTATAACCAGAAAGATAAATCAGAAAACAAGACTATTCATATTAGGGTACCTTGTTTTATATTTGTAATGGTTGAAAAAAAACTTAAAGCCAAGAAACAGAAGAGCATCTAAAGACCCAATTGCTTTTTAAACTGCATTGATTCATGTGTTTTGAATTCAGAATGCTGGAGCTAAAATGGTAGTGTCAGCAAAGCCACTTAACTATTGAGCCGTTGTCTGGAATCTTCTGGTTGAGAGAGTCCCAGACCTGTTCTCAAAATCCTGCAAGTTCTCAGTGATCTCCAGGGCTATCATGAAGTTCTCAAAACTAATTTAATTTCAGTTTAATTTTATTTAAATAGAGCAATTTCTGTTTAATAAAACATTTATAGTTCAATAAAAAAGATATTACAAAATAATGTTGTATATTCTTTCTTTTAAAAATAGTTGATATATGTTTAATTTGTTCTCTTTGTTTAGAAAAAGGTCTAAAAGCATATTCACTAAAATGTCAGTAATGATTTTCTCAAGAGTACAAATGTGGATGAATCCAAATTTTCCTTTTGCTATTCAGTGTTTTTTTTCTGAATTTTTCTAAATTAACATTTATTAATGTGTAACAAATACAAATTAGAGAAAAAGAAGTCTCTTCCTGAACAGCATTTCTGAGTTAAACTTAATTTAAAATAGTTGGAAATTAATGTGCCAATTATCAGCTCATAATCAATCTCACCATTTAATAAAATGTCTTTTAGTTTCTTTTATCCAGATGATTCTTCCTCACAGGCAATATACAAAAACATACCTGGAATGACAAACCTTCTGTATTCTCTTTTGCTCTAGGTTAGCTTCCTTAGACATTTTTCCATAGTAGCATTTTCTCCTCTGTGCATAACCCACTCCACACAAAAGCATCATTTAAAATAGTTTCCCTTCTAATTTTAATAATGCATACAAATTTATAGACAATTTGGAAAGGATAAATAAAAATCACTCATAATTACACTAGCCAAAGCCATGCTAAAATACTAGCAGATGTATTTTCTCATATGTGTGTGTCTGTGTGTGTGTGTGTGGTTGAGTGTAATTTACTAGGCACACTAGAAGAAAATATATTATTAGGCCAGGACAAAACTATCTCAGTATAAATACAATAAAATAAGGCAGAAAGGAAATGGTTGAATTTTACATATAATGATTTTATTTGTTATTTATCCAAATATCTCAAACCACATTAAAGAGCAAGTGACAAATTAGGAGAAATGTTTGTAACATACAAAATAGGGTTAAAACTTTAAATAAAGACTCTAAAAATCACTGAGAAAAACATTAGGCCATCAAATAGAGATTAGGATAATGATTAGCCTGCTATCTAGAAGATGACAAAATAAATGGTTTCACTAAGATAGAATTTCATTTATTTCTCATGTAAGAACAAAGAGGATAGCAGCTCCCTCCAGGTAGCTCTGCTCCATGTAGTCCTTGAGGTTTCCTTCATCTAGTTGCTCTGTTTTCTCTGGGGCATTGTTTGTTTCTGCATATTTAAGCTGGTTGCTGCTTCACCTAGTTCCCATGCAGTGGCAATGAGGAGAGACAACCCGAGCAAGGGATTTCCTTTTAAACAAGAAAAGAGAGTATTGAAGACATATCTTCAACTCCATTTCCATTTGTGAAAATCTGGCCATATAGCCTTACTTGCTGCAAGAGAGTCTGGAAAATGTATTCTCTAATTGGGATCTTACATGCCCAAGACAAAGGGAGAATAGATTTTTGAGGGTAGAATGAAGGCTCTTCTAGAAAAAAAGGTTCAGAAAAGGATATGAACATATAAATATAAAAAATTAAATAAATGTAAACTAAAACAGTACAATGGTCATTTTTGGTCTACCAAATTGGTAAAGATTTCCACAAATGACAATCATTGCTGATAAGAATATAATAAAATGACCATTTTCAAGCATTGCTGATAAGAAGTGTAAATAGTTATTACCTTTCTAGAAAGCAATTTGGCCATGCATAGCAAAAGGTTCTTAAGTGTTTTCACTCTGATTCAATAATCTCATCTCAAGAAATCTAGTCTTACAAAATAATTAGAGATTAAGATAGAGAAAAGTAAAGGAGAAAGAAATGTCCCACAAAAAGAGAATTATAAAATAATTTATGAAACAACCACACAGTGGAATATTATGCAGTCAATAGAATAATATTTTGAAGCTATGGGAAAATGTTCATGATGCAATGTCAGGAGAGGGAAAAGAATGATTCAAACTTCTGAATTAAGAATCATGTCAGCTTTGTTTAAAACAAATATATGACTAGAATTTAAAACACCGTAATATAAGACTGGTTACATTTGAGACACTTTTGCTTTCCTTATTTATTTTCTATAAATAATATATTTTCTGGAATTAGAATGTATTTTATAATTTTATAAAACAGAAGATTCTATTTAGAAATTACCACACAAAGCAGAAGATAAGGTCCTAGGAGTGTCAGTCCTGGGTGAAGAGACGGAACTGCCTCCAGGATTCAGAACAGACTTGGGATATACACACAAGAACATTGTTTTCAGAGAGGAAGTCACTGAGTCTGAAGGTATGAGACCTAAATAACCTCCAAGTTGTATGCTTTATAATTTTATCTCTGGTACACTACAACTATTGTGATATTATTTTCTCTCTTTTATTTATTAGGAAACTTTTGGTTGCAAGTACCAGAAACCCAACTAAACACAAACTACGGAAACCATCATGAAGGTACAGAGCTATTTCATGGCATTCAAGAATTGAAACATTTCAGAGACTCAGCGAGGTGATTGAACCAAGGTCTAGAAAGTTGTGGAGACTTTGCCTCTGCTTTTTCCAGATATCTGCTTTATTCTTCATTCTCTGTATAAACTGGCCTCCTCCCTTTCTCTCGTTCACATCATAGACATAAGATGTTTGCTGATGTGTCTCAACTGCAAAGAATAGTTGATCTCAAAGAATACCATTAGGAGTACATCCAGGAACTGGATGTAATACTGTGTGTGAATACATGCAGGAACTGGATGTCATTCATAACTAGGCCTTGATGTTCTGTTAAATACAAACGAGTCCACAGAGCACCAATATCAGACAAGGCCACTCTGTAACTGTCCTATAGCACCTAAGGATTCTGAAGTGATACACAAAAAACCAAGACACTTTGTAGCCTTGTTTAAGCACAGACAAAAACAAGAACACTGCAAACCACATAAATAACCAAACATCCCTCCATTTTGGCTCATATAAGTGTTAAGAACTATATATGTTTGTGCTCTCCCAAAATTCATATGTTGAAGCCCTGACCTCCAATATCATGGTATTAGGAGGTGGGGCCTGTGGGAGGTAATCAGGTTTAGATGAGGTCATGAGAGTGGGGCCTCCACAGTGGGACTATTGTCCTTCAAAAGAGACATGAGCTTCCTCTCTCTCCACCATGTGAGGACATAGTAAAAAGGCAGCTGTCTACCAGCCAGGAAGAGAGCCCTCACCATAACCTGACCATGCTGGCACCCTGATTAGGACTTCCAGCCTCCAGAATCATGGGAAATAAATTTCCATTGTCTAAGCCTTGGCATTTTGTCATAGCAGCCCAAGCTAAGGTAATAAATGACTGCTTCTTTTCAAATTGCAGCTTTAACTTCCTTCTAGTCTTTTCTCCTTCTAGATAAAATTCAGTAAGATTCCCAGAGAATTACCTTTCCTGACAGCATCCATTCCAGAGCAAAGCCCCACTTTCTTAGATTCTTCCCAAATTACCTGAGTCCAAACACTGTAATAAGTTCTTTTGTGTCAATTCACTAAAGTACCTCATGATTCTCCACAGCGTGCAGCCGCCTTCATTGCAATGAGTAATAATAATTTATTCAACAACAGATATATTCCTGGCTGGAAAGCACTGACATAAAATATATAGAGAGAGAGGTTTAGGAAATATCTGTCTGCTGAGAGGCTGTAAAGGCAATGGCCCTTCAATAGCCATGAGCCCCCCTAACACCTAGATTTTAGATTCAAAATATCATTCTCCAATAAAAAAACAACAGGATTCCTAGAGAAATGGCTAATTCGAAGACTCAGAGAGTGAAAATATCAGAGGAGCCTGGAACATCCTATAATGCCAGGAGGGAAAGCAGGGCTTTAAAAAGGAACTAATGGGCACTTGTCCAAAGGACACAGGAGCCATCTTGAAGGGGCTCCTGACAGCCAAATTTGAGATAATTTGAACAGCAAAACAATAAAGATAGTAATGGATTATAATCCATAGAATAAGATAAGGCTCTATCAGTCCATACTGACATAAACAAACAAATAAATATATGAGAAAGAACAGCTTCTTCTTACATTAGTATTCCAACTAATAAATATAGGAGAAATGATGGAAGTAGAAAATTATTATTTGGCAAAGAATAAATATTTTAGGCAAGATTCACCAGTTGGTTAAAAATATTAGTGGGCAAAAATATAAATGAGATCTTCCAACGAGATGCTTATTCATCACAAAGGGAAAAATGATAACTTTAGAGTGGAGAAAACAGGCAAACACAACCTTAATCATGTCATAAAAATTAACATCCACTAGTATTGGGACAAATCTTAATCATGTGGTTCCTGATGCTTCACTGAAACAAACACATCATTCCATCATAATCTTAATCATGAAGAAATATCTGACATGCCTAAATTGAGGAACATTCTACAGAAATAAATAACTGGCTGGTCCTCTTCAAAGGTGCCAAAATTGTAAAAGACAATGAAAGAATAGGGGATTGTTCCAGATTAAAGGTGACATGAAAACTAATGGTAATGTATGATCCTAGACCAGAAAAAAAACATTAATTGGTAAAATATGAATAAGAACTATAGATTAGATGATAATATTATATTAATGTCAGTTTCCTAATTTGATAATTGTACTGTGGTTATGTATAATGTTAACATTTAAGAAATTAGATTTTGGGTGTTTGAGAATTCTATCAGGTTAGTGCAAAAGTACTATTCTGAACATTTTTATAAGTCTGAAAGGATTTCAAATTAATTTTTAAATTAAAAAATACCTGGGCACGATGGCACATGCCTCTAGTCCCAGCTACTTGGGAGGCTGAGGCGGGAAGATGGCTTGAGTCCAGGAGCTGGAGTCCAGCTGGGCAACATAGCAAGACCCTGTCTCTTAAAAAAAAAATGCCCTACTTCTATGCATTCACCTTTGTTTTACCTGTGCATTAAATTAACAGAAAGGCAGTTAAACATTAAACCTTCAAAAGTTACAATCTGTAAATACTTCTTCAGGGGGATAGTTTAGGCTTATATTAGAAAAATTGCAACAAAATATATACTATCTAAATGTCAAATTTCATGCATGTTCAGCCTCAAAAATACTAGTGTTCATATTATATACATTGAAAAGGTTTCCTGGGCAATTCTGCACATTCCAGCTTTTTCCTGTTTTTTTCCTCCTATTTCCTTATATTTTCTAATTCCTTTCTACTTACCTGTATTGCATTTTTAATTGTTTATGTTGCGTTTTTTATTTCTTAAATGACTGTGTTTTTCAATATTTTTCAAAAAATATATTTTAGCAAAATCAATCAACAATCACAGAAATCACCCATAATCCTATTCCATCTTTAAAATTATAAATGCATTTAAATATGTACAAATCAGCCATATGCAGTCTTAACTTTGTCAATGTTACAAAGTAAAAATATGATTATAATTGTCATTATTTACATTTGTCATGCCTAAGGCTATATCTACCCAAAGCCACAGAAAAATGTAATCAACCAGATGTTCGAGTCTTTAAAAAGGTCAATATATGACTATTAAAAAGCACCTGGTGTTTGTGGAGGTTATTTCAATCTACTCAAATGTTTAGCTTCATCTAAACACAGTGTGTCTCATCTCCCTGGGTAGATGAACACAGATTGTCTCACATTCTACTATCTCTGAGGTCCAAAAGGACCCCATACCTATGTAATACTATATGTTGTTGACACCTCAAGATGAAAGGAAGTTCACATTAATGTTAACTAACAGTAGTATGCTTTGAAATAATCTTGATTGCCTTGACGAGTCCTAGGAATGATGGTCAAAAACATAGTCTTAAAGAGATTTTCTCTTTATAGGAATTAATCAGCCATGGAATACAGTCCATCAAAGTTTGAAGCAACCCCAGTATCCTGGAGCGACAGTGTATTGATGTACTCAGAAAGAATACTTCTCTAGCAAATTGGAGGCAGAGATGGCAAACAGTAACACCAAGCACCTATCCCCAAAACTTCAGTGACAATGTAGGCCTTTAGTAGGTTTGAGCATTATCTTGTCTTCCATGAATGCCTCCCTATGAGAAGATGCCCCAGCTCTATAGTGGAAATCTTAAGGTATCTTATGAATGCCCTCGGTTAGCACAGCATTAACTGTGAAGGACTTTTATAATCAGAATTATGATTACATCTTGGTCAGCTGTAAGGCTCCCCCAGAAACCTATGTCTTAGCACCACGACCCCACTACATAAACCATATGCAGGTTTGGTGCCACCACTAGGCACCGCTTATTGCACCAGTTCCTAGAAACTATGGAGTGAGGATAAGGGAGAGACAATTGTGAGAGAGTGTGTTTGAAAAAAAATGCTACTAGCTCCTGTAAACCTAAACCTATCCACCTTTTTCTGATAGCACCTTGCCTCATTTTAGAAGGTATAGTGTTTTTAGAGCTGAAGGAATGAGTGCAGATTATAGCCATTTATATTCACTGCTGTCTTAGAAACAGCAACCGCAAATGCCAGGAACTCCTTAAAATAACCGAGAACATGGATCAAGACATTCCATAAGAAATAACAGATTAGACCTGAAAAAAATTGAGTTATGCCATGTTGATTTTTAAGTACCTTTATTGAAATATAGTTGACATACAAATAAACTGTGAATAGTTAAAGCATAAAGCATGGTAAAATTTGACATATGATTACATCCATGAAATAGATGTAGTGGTTGCTATGGGTTGGGGGAGGGATAGAGGGGAGTTGAAATAATCACTATAATCAGAATCATGAACATATCCCTATGACCCAAAAGCTTCCTCATGTCCCATTTTTTCTATTGTGATAAATCACCCATAATAAAAATTTTACTATATTAAGCATTTTTAAGTGCACAATACAGTGTTAACTACATGTACCTTGTATACAACCTCTAGAACTTTTATCTTGACAAATTAAAATTAAAATTAAAATTAAAATTCTGTACCCATTTAACAACTCCCCTTTATCCCTCCCCCAAACCCTAGCAACCACTACTCTACTCTCTGTTTCTAAGTTTGACTACTTTAGATACCTCATATAAGCAGAATCATGCATTATTCGTCTCTTTGTGACTGTTTATTTCACTTAGCGTAATGTCCTTGATGTTCATTGATTTTGTAGCATATGAGAGGATTTTCTTTTTAAAGGCTGAATAATATTACATTGCACATATATATTATATTCTCTTTGTCCATTCATCTATCAATGGACACTTAGATTGCTTCAATTTCTTGCCTATTGTGAATAATGCTGTAGTGAACATAGTTGTGCAAATATCTCTTCAAGATCCTATTTTCAGTCCTTTGGGATATATACCCAGAAGTGGGGTTTCTGGATTATATGTTAATTCTATTTTCAATTTTTTGAAGAATTGCCATATTGCTTCCCATAGTGGCTGCAGCATTTTACATTCACACTAGCAGTGCACAAGAGTTCCAGTTTCTCCACATCCTTCCTAACACTTTTTTTTTAAAAAAAATAGTTGCCATTCTAATGGGTGTGATTTGAAATTTCCTGATGATTAGCAATGCTGAACACCTTTTCATACACCTGTTGATCATTTGTATGTCTTCTTTGGAGAAATGTCTATTCAATGCCTTTGCCTATTTTTTAATTGGGTTATTTGGGTTTTGGCTATTGAGTTGTAGGTGTTCCTTATAAATTCTGGATGTTAATCCTTTATCAGATTAATGGTTTAAATTATTTTCTCCCATTCTGTAGATCGCCTTTTTACTCTGTTGTTTCCTTTGCTATGCAGAAGTTTTTAAGTTAGATGTAGTCCCATTTGTCTATTTTTGCTTTCGGTGTCATATCCAATAAATCAGTGCCAAATCCAATGTCAGAAAACTTTTCCCCTATGTTTAGTTTTTGGGTTTTTATAGTTTTGCGTATTACACTTAGGACTTTAATTCAATTTTAATTAAATTTTTAAATATGGTGTGAGGTAAGACTCCAACTTTATTTTTTTTGTGCATGTGGATATTCAGTTTTCCTCAATACCATATGATGAAGAGACAATTTTCTTCCGATTGTGTGTTCTTGACACCCTTATGAAAGATCAGTTGACCATGTATTTGTCAATTTATTTCCGAGTTCTCTATTGTTTTCCATTGGACTATATGTTTGTCTTTATACCAGTATCACACTGTTTTGATAACTATAACTTTGTAATATGTTTTGAGAGCAGGAAGTATAAGACCCACAGCTTTATTTTTCTTTCTCAAGTTTGTTATGGTTATTAGGGATCTTTTCAGATTTCACATGAATTTTAAATGTCTTTTCTTTCTATTTCTACAAAAAAAAGCCACTTGGATTTTATTAAGGATTGCATTAAATCTGCAGATAGCTTTGTATAACGTTGACATTTCAATAATATTAGGTCTTCCAATCCATGATGGGATGTCTTTCTATTTCTTTGTATTTTTACAGCAATATTTTGTTGTTTTCACTGTGTAAGTCTCTCACCTCCTTGGTTAAGTTTCTTCCTAATTATTTTATTCTCTCTTATGCTATTGTGAATAAGATTAAATTGTTTTCCTTTTCATATTTTTCATTGTTAATGTACAGAAATATGGTGATTTTGTGTAGTTTTGTATCCTGCAACTTTGCTAAATTAATCTACTAGTTCTAACAGTTTTTTGTGTGGAATTGTTAGGATTTTCTACATATAAAGTCATGTCTTCTGTAGAGATGATTTATTTCTTCCTTTCTAACTTGGATATTTTTATTTTTTCTTTTCTTATTTTTTCTTTTCTAACTTCTCTAGCTTAGACTTCCACTACTACCTTTAATAGAAGTGGCAAGAGATGTATCATTGCCTTGTTCCTGATATTAGAGGGAAAGCTTTCAGTTTGCCATGATGTTAGCTGTGAGCTTTTAATACATAGCCTTTATTACGTTAAAGTAGTTTCCTTTTATTCCTAGTTAAATGAGAATTTTTATCATGAAAGGCTGTGGAATTTTTTCAAATGCTTTTTCTGCATCAATTGATATGATTATGTTGCTTTTGTCCTTCATTGTGTTAATGTGGTATATTATATTAATTGATTTTTATCTGTTTAACCATCCTTGAATTCCAGGAATGGATACCGTTTAGTTACAATGTATACTTTTTTAATATGTTGAATTCAGTTTACTAGTATTTTGCTGAGAATGTTTGCATCAATATTTATCAGGAATATTAGTCTGTAGTTTTCTTTTTTTGTAATATATTTACCTGACTTTGGTATTAGAAGAATGCTGGCCTCATAAAATGAGTTTGGAAGTCTTCTCTTGAATTTTTGGGGGACAATTTGAGAAGGGTTTGTATTATTTATTTTTTAAATGGTTTTTAAACTTCTTCAAAAATGTCATATCATTCTAGGCTTCTATTTGTTCTAAGGTTTTTGACTGCTGATTAAATCTCCTCACTCATTGTAGATCTGGTCGTTTTTTGTTTTCTTTTTGTTTTGTTTTGTTTTTTTTTTGAGGTGGAGTCTTGTTCTGTCACCCAGGCTGGAGTGTAATGGTGTGGTCTTGGCTCACTGCAATCTCCACCTCCTGGATTCAAGCTATTCTCCTGACTCAGCCTCCCAGGTAGCTGGGACTACAGGCACATGCCACTATGCCTGGCTAGTTTTTGTATTTTTTAGTAGAGATGGGGTTTCACTATATTGGCCAGGCTGGTCTCAAACTCCTGACCTCATGATCTGCCCACCTTGGCCTCCAAAAGTGCTGGGATTACAGGCGTGAGCCACCGTGCCCATCCCAGATTTTTAAATTTATTCATGATTCAGTCTTGGTAGATAGTATGCTTCTAGAAATTTTTCCATTTCTTCCAGCTTATTCAACTTGTTGGTGTATAATTGTCCATAGTAGTCTGTTTTGATCCTTTTTATTTCTGCAGCATCAGTTATACTGTCTCATTTCTAATTTTTGTAATTTGAACCTTCTTTCTTTTTTCTTAGTCAAGCTAAAGGTTTGTCAATTTTATTGATGTTTTCAAAAATTAATTCTTAGTTTCATTGATTTTTTCTATTCTTTATTTTTTATTTCTCTTGAATTCTTTTCTATTTCCTTTCTTCTGCTAACTTTGAGCTTAGTTTGTTCTTTCTCTTGTTCCTTGAGGTTTAAGTCAAGCTGTTGATTTGAGATCTTCCTTCTTTTTTAATATACACATTTACCACTATAAACTTTTCTCATAATTCTGCTTTTAGTGCATCTCATAAATTCCTGTATGTTTTCAATTTTGTTTGTCTCAAGCTGTTTTCTAATTTTTTTTCTGATTTTTTTTCTTTGACTCATTGGTTTTTCAATAACGTGTTGTTTAATTTCCACATATTTCTCTTTTTTTCCATTTTTCTTTTGCTATCAATTTCTAGTTTTACTCCACTGGGGTCACGAAATATACTTGGTACAATTTCAATCTTCTTAAATTTGTTAAGGAATTGAAATTCATTTAATGGTCCAACATATAATCTATCATTGAGAATGTGCCACATCCATTTGAGAAGAATGTGTATTCTGCTGTTGTGGGGAGGAGTGTGCTGCATGGGCTTAATTGTTCTACAGTTTTGTTTAAGTCTTCTGTTTCTTTTTTATGTGTAAATATATTTTTAAATTTCATTTTTAATTATAAATTAACAAATTATAGTTGTATATATTTATGGATTGCAAAGTGACATTATGATTTATAAACACAATATGAAATAATTATATCAAGTGAATTAGGATATCCATCACCTCAAATACTTATCATTTTGTGTGTGTGTGTTGAGAACATCTGATGAAATTTACTCTTAGTGATTTGGAAATCTAGGATACATTAATATTTACTGTAAATTCACCATACCATGCAATAAATCTCAGAGAAAAACCTCATGTCTAACGAGGCTTTGTACCCTTTGACATTACCTCCTTATTTGCTTACTAACACCCCCAGCCTCTGATGACCACCATTCTATTCTTTACTTCTTTGTGTTCTATTGTTTTAGATTCCACATATAAGTGAGAACATGTGCTGTTTATCTTTCTTTGTCCTTGGATTATTGCTTATTTTACTTAGCACAGGGTTCTCAAATTCGTCCATGTTGTTGCAGAAGACAAAATCTTTCCTTCCTTTTTTTTTAGACACAGGGTCTCACTGTCACTCAGGCTGAAGTTCAGTCGCACCTTCTTAGCTCACTGCAGCCTCAAACTTCTGCCTCAAGTGATGCTTCTGCCTCAGTAGCTGGGACTACGGATGCATGCTTCCATACCTGGCTAATTTTTAAATTTTTGGTAGAGACCCGATCTTCCTATGTTGGCCCAGGCTCATCTCTAACTCCTGGCCTCAAGCAACTCTCCTGCCTTGGCCTCCCAAAGTGCTAGAACTACAGGTGCAAGCCACACTCGGCCTTCTTACTTTTTTAAGGCTCAGTAATATTCAATTTTGTATATATACCACATTTTCTTTATCCATTCATCTTTTGATAGACACTTAGATTGACTCCATATCTTGTCTGTTATGAATAGTGCTGCAGTGAACATGGGAGTGCAAACATCTTTTTGATGTATTGATTTCAAATCCTTTGGGTAAATACCCAGAAGTGTGGTTGCTGGATCATATGGTAATTCTATTTTTAGTGTTTTGAGGAAACTCCATACAGTTTTCCATAAGACTGTCCTAATTTATATTAATTTTCGCCAACAGTCTACATGGTTCCTTTTTCACCACATCCTCACCAACGCTTATATTTTTGTTTTCTCTTTATTAATTAATCTGTCTGTTTGGTGTATTCATTATTGAAAGTGAAGTATTAACATCTCCTGTTATTATTAGGAGTCAAGTTGCCCAGGGTCTGTCCCCAGCCTAACTGCTGTCTGCACTCAGATGTTCTCTTCTCTCCCTCTCTGCTGCGTCATTCTGCTGTTGGTCTGCTGGTCTGCTGGCTTGCTGAACTGCTGGTATGCTGGTCTGCTTCTGGACCCTGCGACTCAGGGTTTATATGGGTGCAGAATAGAGGGTGTGGCAGAGCAAATGGCAACTTTTGGGGCATGAAATCAGAAATGCCTGTTTTCATTTAGGGCCTTGAGTCTTCAGGCTTGAGGGTGAGGCCTTTTCTGGGAAACCACCCTGTTCTACACAGTGTCTCTCTGTCTCCTGTCCCTATCAGTTTCATCCATGTTGTTGCAAATGACTGAATCTCATTCTTTTGTGGCTGAAATGTGGTTTATAGGTACCACATTTCTTTATCCATTCATCAGTTAATGGACACGTGGGTTGCTCCAAAATCTTGGCTATTGTGAACAGTGCTGCAACAAACATGGGAGTGCAGATATCTCCTCAATATCCTGATTTCCTTTCTTTGGGGTACATACCCAGCAGTGGGATTGCCAGATAATATGTTAGCTCTATTTTTAGTTTTTTGAGAAACATTTCTCTTTTTGAGAAACTGTTCTCCATAGTGGTTGTACCCATTTACATTCCCACCAACAATGTATGAGGGTTCCCTTTTCTCCACATCCTTACCAGCATTTGCTTTTTCCTGTCTTTTGGAAATAAGCCATTGTAGCTGAGGTGAGATGATATCTCCTTGTAATTTTGATTTGCATTTCTCTGATAATCAAAGATGTTGAGCACTTTTTCATATGCCTGTTTATCATTTGTATGTCTTCTTTTAAGAAATGTCTATTCAAACCTTTTGCCCATTTTAAAATTGGATTATTAATTTTTTTCCTATAGAGTTGTTTAAGCTGCTTGTATATTCTGGTTATTAATCCCTTGTCAAGTGGATAGTTTGCAAATATTTTCTCCAGTTCTGTGGATTGTCTTTTCACTTTGTTGATTATTTTATTTGCTGTGCAGAAGCTTTTTAACTTGATATGATCACATTTGTCCATTTCTGCTTTGGTTGCCTGTACCTTTGGGGTATTACTCAGGAAATTGTTTTGTATACCAATGTCCTGGAGAGTGTCCCCATTGTTTTCTTTTAGCTGCTTCATAGTTTGAGGTCTTAGATTTAAGTCTTTAATCCATTTTGATTTGATTTTTGTATATGGCAACAGATAGAGGTCTAGTTTCATTCTTCTGCATATGAATATCCAGTTTTCCTAGCACCATTTGGATATACACTTTTCCCCAGTGGATGTTCTTGGCAACTTTGTCAAAAATGAGTTCACTGTAGGTGTATAGATTTGTTTCTGGGTACTCTATTGTGTTTAGTTTGTAATGTATCTGTTTCTATGCCAGTACCATGCTGTTTTGGTTATTATAGCTCTGTATAATTTGAAGTCGGGTAATATGATTCCACCAGTTTTGTTCTTTTTGCTTAGGATAGCTTTGACTGTTCTGGGTCTTTTGTGATTCTATATACAACCTAGGGTTGTTTTTTCTTTTGCTGTGAAAAAATTTCATTGGTATTTTGATATGGATTACATTGAACCTGTAGGTTGCTTTGGGTAGTATGGACATTTTAACAATATTGATTTTTCCAATCCATGAACATGGAATATCTTTCCATTTTTTGGTGTCCTTTTCAATTTCTTTCATCAGTGTTGTACAGTTTTCATTGTAAAGATCTTTCACTTGCTTGGTTAATCCCTAGATATTTAATTTTATTTGTGGCTATTGTAATTAAGAATACTTTATTTCATTTTCAGATTGTTCACTGTTGTCATATAGAAATGCTACAGATTTTTGTATATTGATTTTGTATCCTGCTACTTTACTGAATTTATCAATTTTAATAGTTTTTGGTGGCATCTTTAGAGTTTTCCAAGTATAAGATCACATCATCTGTAAACAAGGATAATTTGACTTCTTTTCCAATTTGGATGCCCTTTATTTCTTTATCTTATCTGATTATTCTAGCTAGGACTCCCACTACTGTGCTGAATAACAGTGGTGAAAGTGGGCATTCTTGTCATGTTTCAGATCTCAGAGAAGTCTTTTAGTTTTTCCACATTTAGTATAATGCTAGTTATCAGTCTGTTGTATATGGCATTTATTATGTTGAGGTACATTCTTTCTGTACCCAGTTTTTAAAGGGTTGTTATCATGAAGGGATGTTGAATATTATCAAATCTTTTCTCAGCATCAATAGAAATGATCTTTTTTTTGTCCTTCATTCTGTTGATATGATGTATAATCTTAATTGATGTGTATGTTGAACCAACCTTGCATCCCAGGAAGAAATCCCACTTGGTATGATGAATAATTTTTTTAATGTATTGTTGAGTTTGGTTTGCTGGTATTTGGTTGAAGAATTTTTCTTTTTTCTTTTTCTTTTTGTTTTTTTTTTTTGTTTGTTTGTGAAAGAGCACACTTTATTGGGAAGCAGAGTGCTGCACAGTGACCAACAGATGATGGCTGCCCAAAGGGCACTTACACATCATACTCCAAAAGACACAGGATTTTTTGCTAATAAAGTCAACAGGAACAGGGATTCCTCTGGGCAACTCCCCCAACCTCATCCCTTTCAGGGGTCAGGATATCTCCCAACCACTTTCCTAATGGCAGCTGTGGTTCACTAGAGATAGAGCCCCTCGGGGGAGCCTTCCTGTTTCTTATAAAGAATATTTTCTTTAGATTTTTTTGAAGTCTTCATTTGTTACTTTCATTCTACATTCTCTTAAGGCCACAGACCAGCTTCTCTACATGTTACCTTGATGTCAGCACCAGAGAGGTCATCTTTAGCCATAATCAAATCGTCCAGGGTTGTATCATCAGCCAGCGTCATCCTGCTTGTGTGAATCTGAAAGATGTGCTTCCTAGTCTTTTCATCAGGAAGGGGGAACTCGATATTTCTGTTAATGTGGCCTGGTCTGATAAGTGCTGGATCCAAAGTTTCTATTCAGTTTGTGGCCATGATAACTTTCACATCTCTCCTACGATCAAATTCACCCAACTGGTTCAACAGTTTCAACATTGTTCACTGAATGAATTTCTTTCTCACCACCAGAATTTGAGTCATATATTTTTGTTCCAATGGCATCAATTTCATCAATAAACACAATGGATGGTGCATGCTCTTCAGCAACTCAAAACAATTTCCATACAAATTCAGGCCCATCACCTAGGTACTTCTGAATAAGTTCAGAGCCAACCACTTTCAAGAAAGTGGTGGAGGTTTGGTTTCCTGCTGCTATGGCTAACAAGATTTTACCTGTGCCAGGTGGACCATAGAGAATGACCCCCTTAGGAGGCTTTATACCCATCTCTTCATAATATTCAGGATGGGTTAGAGGAAGCTCCACAGATTCCTTAATTTCCTAAATTTGGTTGTCCAACACCCCAGTATTGGCACAGATCTCCTGGGGGGACTTTTCCACCTTCATCACTGTGACTAGGGGATCCATGTCATCCATCAGCACCCCATCACAGCATGCACCTTGTGGCTGAGCAGGACCAAGCATCCAGGTTTCAGCAGATCCTTGTCTACAAATGAAAAAAATGCTGACGTAGTGTTCTCAGCCCACAGATGCACACATAATGGTCACTGATGATCTCTTCCAAAGTTCCTACTGACATTGGGGTCCCACTCAGATCATCCACTTTTGATCTTTCCTCCTCTTGCTTTTCTTCTAATGGTTTCATTAGTTTCTGATTTCTAATTAATTATCCCTCCACGAGAAGATAGTCTTTCATTCTCTTTAACTTCAGTAATTTTAATGGGCACTGAGTGTTAGGTGTCAACAGTGGCAGTTTGCTGGCAGCATCTGGTTCCTTTGTTCTCTTCTTTTTCCCCACTGTAGTTGGTACAGGAGGTTCATATTTCTTTTTCTTGTCCTTGTCATCTTTCTTGCCACCTCCAGGAACATGACCACACTCTGACTTTGACCCATCTTGCCTTGGCCACTTGAGCTGAGGATTTTTTCATCAATAGACATTGATTTTTCATCAATAGACATCAGAGATATTGACCTATAGTTTTCTTTTTTTAATGTTTCTTCGTCTGGTTTTGGTATCAAGGTAATACTGGCCTCATAGGATGAGTTCACCCAACATTGGTGCACCTAAATATATAAAGCAAATGTGTGTGTGTATATGTATATACACACACACACACATATATATATTTAAAATTGTTAAATCCTCTCATTGATTTGATCCCTTTATCATTATATAATGACCTTCTTTGTCTCTTCTTATAGCATTTGTGTTGAAATTTATTTTTTCTGATATAAGCATAGGTACTCCTGCTTTTTTTTATTTCCATTGTCATGGAATATCTTTTTTCATGCCTTTGTTTTCAGTCTATGTGTGTCTTTATAGATGAAGTGTGTTTCTTGTAGGCAACAGATTATTTGGTCTTGTTTCTTCATCCATTCAGCCACTCTGTTTCTTTTGATTAAAGAGTTTAGTTTATTTACCTTCAATATTATTATTGATAAGTAAGAACTAACTCCTGCCATTTTGTTATTTGTTTACTGGTTGTTTTGTGGTCTTCTTTTCTTTTTCCTCCTCTCCTCTCCTCTCCATTTTTCTTTTAGTAAAGGTGATTTTCTCTGGTGATTTCTTGCTTTTTATTTTTTGTGTGTTTGTTGTTTGTTTTCTGTTCTGAGGTTACCACAAGGCTTGCAAATACTATCTTATAACCTATTATTTTAAGCTGATAACACTGTTTGCATAAACAAAGAAATAAGCAAAAAGAAAACTAATAAAAACTCTACACCTTAACTTCATCCCCCAACTTTTAAACTTTTTGTTGTTTCTATATATATCTTATTGTACTGTCTATGTCTTAAAAAGTTATAGTTATTATTTTTGATTAGTTCATCATTTATTCTTTCTACTTAAGAGTAGCTTACACAGCACAGTTAGGTGTTATAATATTCTGTGCTTTTCTGTGTGCTATTACCAGTGAGTTTTGTTACCCTCAGATGATTTCTTATGGCTCATTAATGGTTCTTTTCTTTCTGATTAAAGTATTCTCTTTAGCATTTCATGTAGGGCAGGTCTGGTGTTGAAATCCCTCAGCTTTTGTTTGTCTGGGAAAGTCTTTCTTTCTTCTTCATGTTTTAAGGACATTTTTTACCAGGCATATTATTCTAAGGTAAAAGTGTTTTTTTCCTTCAGCACTTTAAGTATGTCATGCCTGTCTCTCCTGGCCTGTAAGGTTTCCACTAAAATGTCTGCTGCAAGACATATTGGAGCTTCATTTTATGTTAGTTGTTTCTTTCTCTTTTTTTTTTTTTTTTTTTGGATTCTTTCTTTATCCTTGACCTTTGGGAGTTAGATTATTAAATGCCTTGAGGTAGTCTTCTTTGGGTTAAATCTGCTGGGTATTTTATAACCTTCTGGTAGTTGGATATTGATATCTTTCTCTACATTTGGGAAGTCTTTTTTTATAATCCTTCTGAATAAACTTTATACCCCTATCTCTTTCCCTACCTCCTCCTTAAGGCCGATAACTCAGATTTGTCCTTATGAGGCTATTTTCTAGAGGCTGCAGGGATGCTTCATTGTTTTTTATATTTTTTTTTCTTTAATCTCCTCTGACTGTGTATTTTCAGATAGCCTGTCTTCAAGCTCACTAATTCTTCCTTCTGCTTGGCCAATTCTGCTGTTAAGAGACTCTGATGAACTCTTCAGTATATCAGTTTTACTTTTCACTCCAGAATTTCTGCTTGATTCTTTTTAATTATTTTAACCTCTTTGTTACATCTGATAGAATTCTGAATTCCTTCTCTGTGTTATCTTGAATCTCTTTGAGTTTCCTCAACACAGCTATTCTGAATTATCTCAAAGGTCACATATCTCTGCTTCTCCAGGATTGGTCCTTGGTGCTTTATTTAGTTCATTTGGTGAGGTCATGTTTTCCTGCATGGTATTGATGCTTGTCAGTGTTCATCTGTGTTTGGGCATTAAAGAGTTAGGTATTTACTGCAGTCTTTGTAGTCTGAGCTTATTTGTACCCATTCCTCTTTGGAAGGCTTTTGAGATGTTATAAAGGACTTGGGTGTTGTGATCTAAGTTTCTGCTTTAGGGAGCACCCCAAGCTCAGTAGTGCTGTGGTTATTTCAGACTTGTAGAGGTACCACCTTGATTGTCCGGAAGAAAATCTAGAAGAATTCTCCAGATTATCAGGCAGAGACTCTTATTACCTTCCCTTACTTTCTCCCAAACAAATGTAGTCTCTCTGTTCTGAGCAACCCGAAGCTGGATGTGGAATGACAAAAGCACCCCTGTGGCCACCACCACTAGGACTATGCTGTGTCAGACCTGAAGCCAGCACAGCACTGGGTCTCATCCAAGGCCTATTGTAACCATTCCTTGGCTACTGCCTATGTTTGCTCAAGGCTATGGGGCTCTATAATCAGCTCTACAATCAGCAAGTGATGAAACTAGTCAGGCTTATGTCCTTCCCTTCAAGTCAGTAAGCTCCTCCAGGCCCCAGGTGGGTCCAGAGTTGCCATTACATGAGCCAGGAACTAGAATTAAACCTTAGAAGTCTACCTGGTGTTCTATTTTCCTGTGGCTGAGTACAAAATACTGTACTCAAACCAGATTATACAGCCGGTCCCACTCTTCCTTCCCCTTTTCCAAGGCAGGAGTCACCTCATGACCGCCACCAACACAGGTCACAGGGAGTACTGCCTGACTACCGCTAATGTTCCCTTAAGGCCCAAGGGCTACTTAGTCAGCTTATAATGAATTCTGCCTGGCCTGGGATTTACCTTTAAGGGCAGTGGGATCCCCTCCAGCCCAGGGAAGGTCTAGAAATGATGTTCAAGAGTCAAGTCCTGGAATCAGGGACCACATGAGCCCCTTTGATCATATATCCCCCTGTGGTCAAGCTGGTACCTAAGGCATAAGACAAAGTTCTTTTTACTTTTCCCTGTACTTTACTCAAACAGAAGGATTCTTGCCCTGTAGCCACTACAGCTGGGAATGCACTGAGTCTCAACTGAAGCCAGCAAGTTTCAGAGTCACATCCAAGACCCATGATATAGTACCTGGGTATCACTGTGGGTTATTCAGTGCCCAAGGGCTCTTCAGTTAGCAGGTGATGAATCCTGCCAAGGCTGGGTTATTCCTGTCAAAGCAATGAGTTCCCTTCTGGCCCAGGTTGTGTCTAGAAATGCCATCCAGAAGCTAGGGACTGGAAAAGGAGCCATCACAACTCTGACTAGTGCCAGATCCTGCTGTGGCTGAGCTGATATCTAAGGTACAAGACAAAGTCCTCGCTATCTTCCCTCTCCTCTCCTCAAGTGAGAGGAAAGGGTCTCTTTCGGAGCTGTGAGCTGTGCAGCCTGGGCTTAGGGGAGGAGAAATGCCAGTGCTCCAGCTGATGTCTCAGTAGATCACATGCCTTCCAAGTCCACTGGCTTTGGGCCCAGTTCAGCACTAGGACTCATTCAAGAGTTGCAGTTCTTGTGACCTAGTCTGCCTTTCTTTACTTAGAGACTCAGAGCACTTTAGCCTGCAGGGGTGAGGTTGGTGGGAACTCAAGGTCCTACCACTGGGATCAGTGATTTCCCTCTGGCTAGGGCTGGTTTAAATGCTCCCTTCACGGTTGGGCATCAGATGAGTTTGTTCTGTTTTTGCTTTCTGCTATCAGAAACCAGCACTGAGTTTAATGCCTCACAATTGTTGTGCTCTCCCATTCTCCACCACACAGAATCATTCTCCTCCCTATGCTGCCACTGCCAGGGGACGGGCAGCGGGGGTGGTGTTGATAATTCAAGACTGTTTTTCCTACTTCTTCAGTGCCTCTTCCAGTGATATGAAATTAAAACCAGGTACTATGAATGCTCACCTCATTTTTTGGTTCTTTTGAAGATTTTTTTTTGTGTGTAGATAGTTATCAAATTGGTGTCCATTCAGAGGGGGTAATCATTGGAGCTTTCTATTCCACCTTCTTGCTCCCCACCAAGCCTGCATGGAACTTTTTTTGGTGTATATTTACTCTTAATCTATGTATTTTAGTCTTTTTTTGAGATAGGATCTTACTCTGCACCCAGGCTGGAGTGAAGTCGTGTGATCATGGCTCACTGCAGCTTCAACCTCCCAAGCTCAATCAATCCTTCCACCTCAGCCTCCAAAGTAGCTTGGACTACAGGCATGTGCCACCTTACCTGGCTAATTTTTGTACTTTTTGTAGAGACGGGGTCTTGCCATGTTGCCCAGTCTGGTCTCAAATTCCAGGGCTCAAGCAATTTTTCTGCTTCAGCCTCCCAAAGTGCTGAGATTACAGGTGTGAGATACTACACCCTCCCTTCACATTCCTTTTTAATCCTTACTTCCCACTTCCTCTTGCTTCTGCCACCTCCTATTTTTCAGACAACCACTGATCTACTTTCTTTCACTTTGGATTTATTTGAATTTTCTATAAATTTTATAAATGGAACCACATAATATATGGTCATTTTTGTCTAGTTTATTTCATTAGCATAATTATTTTGCTAATTAGGAAGGAAAAAATAAATAAAAGACATCCAGATTAGAAGTGAAGAAGTAAAGTGGTCTTTATTCACAGTCTCCATAGTGGTGTATGACAAAATCTGTTAGAATCTATTTTAAAAGCTACTAGAACTAACAAGCAAATTTAGCAATGTGGTCATGCCATTTTATTGCTAAATAGTATTCTATTGTATGACTATATGATAATTTATTTTTACATCTGTTAATGGATATTTTGTTGTTTTTGTTTTTTTAATATTTTATTTTATTTTTCAAGTTTCAGAGTACATGTGCAGGATGTGCAGGTTTGTTACATAGGTAAACGTGTGCCATGGTGGTTTGCTGTACCTATCAACTATCATCTCGATGTTAAGCCCAGCATACATTAGCTCTTTTCCCTAATGTACTTTCAAAAATAAATCTCCCCTCCAGGCACAGTGGTTTACACCTGTAATCCCAGCACTTTGGGAGGCCAAGGCAAGAGGATCACCTGAGTTCGGGGAGTTTAAGACCAGCCTGGCCAACATGGCAAAGCTCCGTCTCTCCTAAAAATATAAAAATTGGCCAGGTGCGGTGGTGCAGGACTGTAGTCCCAGCTACTCTGGGGACTGAGGCAGGAGATTCGCTTGAACCTGGGAGGTGGAGGTTGCAGTGAGCCAAGATCGACCTATTGCACTCCAGCCTGGGTGACAGGGCGAGACTCCATCTCAAAAATAAATAAATAATATCTGTATAAAAATTTCTGTACATTTTTTGTGAAGACATGTTTTCATTTCTCTTGAGTAAGAGATCTTGGTTGGATCATATGGTAGATACAATATTTAGCTTTTAAGAAACCGTCAAATTGTTTTCCATAGTAGTTGTAACATTTTGTGTTCTTACCAGCTGTGTATGAGAGTATTAGTTGAGTAGCTCTACATTCTCATTGATACTTGGAATGAGCAGTCTTTTTAATTCTAGCCATTGTGTTAAATGTACAGTAGTAGATTATAGTGTTTTAATTTGCATTTCCCTAATAAACAATATTGTTGAGCATCTCTTCAAATGCTTATTTACCACGTGTTTATTTTCTTTTCTTTAGTGAAACGTCTGATCAAATATTTTGCCTTTTTTTTTTTTTAGATGGAGTTTTACTCCAGTCACCCAGGCTGGAATGCAATGGCATGATCTTGGCTCACTTCAACCTCCGTCTGCCAGGTTCAAGTGATTCTCCTTCCTTAGCTTCCTAGGTAGCTGGGATTACAGGTGTGGCCACCATGCCCAGTTAATTTTTGTATTTATAGTAGGGACGGGGTTTCACCGTGTTGGTCAGGCTGGTCTCGAACTCCTGACCTCGTGATCCACCCACCTCGGTTTCCCAAAGTGCTGGAATTACAGGCTTGAGCCACCGTGCCCGGCCACATTTTGCCTATTTTTGAGTTATTTGTTTCCTTTTCATTGAGTTGTTTTGAAACAGTTGTATTATTTTTAATTTTGATGGATGTGTAATAGTTGTATATATTTATGGGGTACATGTGATATTTTGATACAAGCATATAATATGTAATTATTGCATCAGAGTGATTGGGTCTCTATCACCTTAAACATTTATGATTTTTATGTGTTAGGAACATTTCAATTCTATTCTTCTAGTTGTTTTGAGATATACAACAAATTAATGTTAACTATAGTCACCCTATTGTGCTGCCAAACACTAGACTTTATTCCTTCTATTAACTGTGTAGTTGTACACATTTACCTACTGTTCTTTATCTACCATTCCCACTACCCTTCCTAGCCTCTGGCAACCATTATTCTAATCTCTATCTCCATGAAATCATTTTTCTAACTCTGTATATGAATGAGGACATCATTTAACATAATGTCCTCCAGTTATTTCCATGTTGTTGCAGATGACAAGATATTATTATTTTTTATGGCTGAATAACATTGTATTATATATACATACCATATTTTCTTTATCCACTCATGTTAATGGACATGTAGGCTGATTGTGTATCTTGGCCATTGTAAATAGTGCCGCAATTAACATAGGAGTGCAGATGTCTCTTTGATATATTGATTTCCTTCCTTTTTTTATTTGGACCTATACCCAGTCATGGGATTATTGGAATATTCTTGAGTTTTGAGAATTCTTTTTGTATTTTGTATAAGTCCTTCATTAGATATATGCTTTTCAAAATTTTTTTGCTCTACGACTTGTTTTTTAATTTTAAAGTGTCTTTCAAAAAATACTTATTTTAATTTTAATAAAGTTCGATTTATCAGTTTTTTAAGGATCATGCTTTTGGTAATGTATCTAAGAAATCTTTATCAAACTCTATGTCACTAATATATTTTTCCATATTTCTGCTAAAATCTTATAGTTTTAGGTTTTGTATTTAGATTTATAATATATTTTGGATTAATTTCTTATATGGCATGAGGTATAGATCAAAATTTATATTTGTTGCTTATGGCTATTCAAGTGTTTCAGCACCAGCACATCTCTGCTGAATTTTCTTTGCATCCTCGTTGAAAATCATTTGCTGCTATATGTGAGGTCTCTTTCTGGATTGTCTATTCTGTTTTATTGATCTAGTTGTTTATCTTTTTGCCAATGCCACACTATCTTGATTATTGTAGTTTTATAGTATTTCTTGAGATCAGGTACTGTTAATGCTTTGATTTTGTTCTTTGTTTGAAGTCATTTTGGCTATTCTAGGTCCTTTTAGACTTTTAGAATTTGCTTGCCAATTTTCACCTTTTAAAAAGCTTAATGGAATTTGATTAGGAATGCTTTAAATATGTAGATCAATTTGGAGAGAACTGACATCTTAACAATATTGAGACTTCCTATCTATTAACGTGGTATATCTCTTCATTGACTTAAGTTTTCATTAATTTCCTAGAAATATTTTGTAGTTTTCAGTGTACAGTTCCTGTATATCTTTAGTAGGATTTATACTTAAGTACTTATTTTTTCTGATGCTATTATAAATATTAATAGTTGTTTTTTATATTCAATATCTGATTCTTTATTAGTGTAGAGAAATGAAACTTATTTTTGTATAGTGATCTTGTGTCCTATAACATTGCTAAATTTGCTTATTAATTCTAGTAGCTTTTTTATGGACTCTATCAGATTTTCTCATAAACAATCATACAGGCTGCTAATAAAGACAATTTTTACTTATTCATTTCTAATCTGTATAGCTTTTTCTTTTCCCAATTATACTGGATAGAACCTTTATTACAATGTTAAAAATAAATATTGTGAGCAAATGTTATTGCCTTGTTTCTTATCTTAGGGGAAAAATATTAAATCTTGGCATCATTACAGATGAAATTAACTGTAAATAAAGTTCTAAAAGTTTCCTTTTATCCCTAGGTTGGTGAGAGTTTTTATCAGGAAAATACGTTAGATTTTTACCAAATGTTTTTCCTGCATCTATTAACAGCATCATAAGCTTTTTCTTCTTCAGTTTGTTAATATCATGAATTATGTTGATTGATTTTTTAAGGTTAAAACAACCTTGCATTCCTGGGAGAACTACACTTGGTGATAATATATTATTTCTGTTTATATATTGTTAGATTCAAATTGTTAAAATTGTGTTAAGAATTTTTACCTCTGTATCCATGCGGAATATTGAAAAGTAGCTTTCTTTTCTTGTGATCTCATTGTCTTATTTTAGAATAAGAGTAATGCTGGCCTAACATAATGACTGGGAAGGATTTTCTCTGCTTCAATATTTTGGAAGAATTTGTGTAGTATTGGTATTTTTTTTAATGTTGATGAAATTGCTCAGTGATGCCATCCAAGCCTATAGTTTTCTTTGTGGAAAAGTTTTAACTACAAATTCAATATCTTTAGTAGGTATAGAGTTATTCAACTTATCTATTTATCCTTGAGTGAGCTTTTATAGTTTCTGTCTTTCAATAAGTTAATCCATTTCCTCTAATTTGTTGGATTTATTGGCAAAACATTTTTAGTATTATTATCTTTATTATCTTTGCAATACCTATAGAATATAAAGTCACATCACCATATTGGTAACATAATATTTTTTTCCATTTATTTTCTAATTAGCCTGGCTACATATTTATCAATGTTTTTTGGGTTTTTCTCAGTGAAATAGTTTTGTTCTCATTTTATAAATTTCCACTCTCATCTTTATTGTTTTTTTTCTTCTACTTGTTTTGTGTTATATTTGCCTTACTTTTTCTAGTTTCTTATGATGGAAGATAAAGTCTTTGATTTTGGATTTCCCACATTTCTTAATACAAGCATTATTTCTATTAATTTTCCTTTAATTGCTACTTTAGCAATGGCCTACAAGTATCTATATTTTTTGTTCTCATTTTCATTCAGTTCAAAATATTTTAATTTTCCTTTAGATTTCCTCTTTACCCAATAGATTATCCTAAAATAAATTTGGTTTTTAAATATAGGGATTTTTTGTAGTTCTTTCTGTTATTAATTTCTAGTTTAATTTTATAGTGGCCAGAAAACATAGTTGACAATTTATATCCTCATCTTTCTGCTGCCATCCTTTTTTTTTTCTCTGTAGGTAACATGTCTGGTTACTTTTAAAATTTACTCTTTATTGTTAATGTTGAACATTTTGATTTTGATGTGACTATTGCAGTTTTCATCATTTTTTAATTCTTGGGGTGCCTTGGTTATTGGATCTGTGTTTATAGTTTTCATCAAATTTGAAAAAAAAAGACTATTTATTCAAATACTTTTCTACTGCCAATTTTCCTTTGGAAACTCCAATTACACATATATTTAAATGCTTGAAGTTGTCCCATGACAACTTCATTCTGATATTCAGAATGATATTCAACTGATATTCTGTTTTTTTTTTTCTTACCATTTTATTTTGAATTTCTTTAAGTCTTCAGGTTCTCCAATCTTATCTTTTGTAATGTCTATTCTGCTATAATGCTATTAATTCAATCTGGTATATTTTCATTATAGGCAATGAAGTTTCATCTTTATAAGTTTAAATTGGAAGAAGTAGATATATTCTCTTTTGATACTTTCCATGTCTCTATTTAACATAATCTTTCCTCTAGGTATAGAACATATGGAGTACGATTATAAGAACTATTTTAATATCCTTCTTTGCTAATTCTAACATTTATGTCAATTTTTATTACTTAATTTTCTCCTCATTACCTCTCATATTTTTCTGCTTCTTTGCATGATGAGTAATTTTCTTACTGAATGTAGATACAGTGAGTTTTACCTTGCTGGGTGCTCAATATGTTTGTATTCCCATAAGATATAAAAGAGGAGCTTTTTATGGAGGGCACAGTGTAGTTACTTGGGAAAAGTTTGATACTTTCAGATCTTGTGTTAAAGATCTTTTAGGTAAGAAAAGAATAGAATTTTTGCCTGAGGCCAGTAGTGCCTCATTACTGAAACAAGATCTTTCTGGGTACTCTTCCCAGTGTTCTGTGAATGAAGAAATCTTCCATTTTTGCTAGTTGATGCAGACACTATTCTTGGTCCTTTGTAAATGCTGGTACTATCTCTCTGATCCTGTTAAGTGGTTCTTTCTCCAGCTTCAGGTAGTTACCTCATACATCCATTGATCAGTCCTCTTCCCTACAAACTTGAGCTGCCTTCGTCTCCCAGAACACTTAGCTCTGGCACATTGGCTTAACTCTGTCATTGCAACATAACAGTCCATCAGGCTTGCCCTTTCTGCATTGTGGCCCAGAAATTGTTTCAAGGCAATAAGCTTATTGCCACCATATAAGCTACTTCACTTATTTCCTGTCTCTTAAGGACCATTTACTTCATTATCTGATGTCTACTGTCTTTAATTCTTTCATACATTTTCAATTTTAAAATTGTTTTAGGTAGAAAGACAAATATAGTTACTATTGCTCTGTCTTTTCCAATAGCAGTATTGATCATACACTGTTTATTAATTGTAAGATTTAACAATGTCAAGATATCAAGTCTCCCCAAATCAATCTGTAAGTTAATGAAATTTCAATGAAATTTAAAAATTTTTTATGAAAGTAGAAACTCTGATTCTTAAATCTATATGTAAGACTAAGTGTCTAAGACTAGAACAGAATTCCCATTACCCTATCATGCTTTATCATCTTACACTGCTTACTCTCATTCATAGTTCTTATTACCCCTTGACATATTGTCTTTAACCATTTTTTTTCTGTCTTTAACCCCAACTAGAATGTAAGATGCATAAGAGCAGGAATTTCATTTTGTTCACTGTTATATCCCTACTGTCTAACACATATACACTAAATAATTATTAATTGAACAAAAACTGCATGCCAAAGACAATTCTGAAAAAGAAGATTGGGAATTTGGCTTAGCATATATCAAGATGGTAGAAGGCAATAGCAATTAAGATCATTTGCGTATTATTGCATGGATACAGAAAAAGATCAGTGGAACAAAACAGGGAAGCCAGAAGTAGCTCTTATTGTATACAAAATTTGGTTAACATATTATAGAAATACCACTACAAATCAGTTATAAAAGGATGGAATTAGTTAACAAATGCCGCTCAGACAGTTGCCTTCCTTTTAGGAAAAATATGTACACAATAAATTCTATGTGGTTTACTGATCTAAGTAGCCTAGGAAAAGCTTTTAGCAACAATTCTATGAGAATATCTTTATGACCCTATTGTAGAAAAAAATGTTTTAGACATAAAACAAAAGGCTCATCTTACAAAGATTAATAAATTTGTTTATATAAATATGTAAATCTTCTGTTATATAAAAGAACATCATAAACATGGAGAAAACATGAGACACAAACTGAGAGAAGATATTTGAAACTTGTATAAAGAATTGGTATTAATTTAAAAATGTGTTTATGAAAGTTCTACCAAACCGCACCCCAGCCAAAAGAAAAACTAAAAGATAAAAACCAAATGGGAAAAAGGGCAAAGGTTTTGAGCAGAAAATTCATAGAAGAGGAAACCTGGATAGTTAACAAACATACAAAATGCATATATTTATGCATAATCAAAGAAAACTAATATAACATGCTATTTCACTCACACCAAATTGGCAAAAATTGAAGTCTGACAATATCAAATGTTGATAGGAATGTGGGAGGTGTGAGTTCTCCACACTGTTAAAGGAGTACAACTACTCTGGAGAATAATTTTGCAATCTCTAGTAAAATTTAAAATGTTCCCATCCTACAATTCAGAAATTTAGTGTCTACATTCATGGCCCAGAAAAACTCTTGTACTTGTAAAGCAGAATATCTTTAGAGGGAAATGAATTTGTTCAAGTAATATTTTGGAAGCATTTAAATGTTGTCAGCATGGGGAATAAAGAAATAAAATGTAGCATAGTGATACAACAGAGCCGACTTTCTCAAGTGCAGTTTAGGGAGGAAATTTCAGTGGCCTAAGGCATCCATTAAATGTAATGAATCAACTAATTGCAACATATCTAGAATGGTCCTAGTTATGTATCATCATTCAAGAATTAAGAAAGAAGTCATTCAAATCATTGTCTTAGGTTCAGTGGTTAAGCTGAAGAACTCTGCGTGAGACAGGCTGCCATATAGCAATTAAATTAAATGATCTTGAATAGCATGTATCAATATGAAAAGATCCCCCCATATAAGAATAAATACTAAAACCAAGTTGCAATAACACACATAAAATATGAAAGCATTCATATAAAATTGAAAAACATAGTATAACATTATATGTTTTTCTTAGATGTTTTTAAAGTATGTAGTAAAAATATAAAAACACAAACTGGAATGATATAAACTAAGCTAATGAAAGTTTATTTGGGGAGAAGTAAAGAGGGAATAAGAATGAGAAAGACTTAAACTAAGTAATATTTTATTTCTTTCATATATAAAGTATATCTGAAGCAATGATGCCAAAATATTAACATTAATTAATTGTGGATATTGGAAACACAGATATTTGTTAGCACTTCCATATTTATTTAACTTTTCAAAAAACATCCAGAAATTAAAATAAAACTTTGCCTGCAGCTTAAGAAAACGTTAAAAAAAAAAAGACAAGCTAGCAACTATCAAATATCTTGTGTCTTCCTAACTTCTACTGAGTTCACTAACTTCTACTGATCTGTCACCAGCTTTTCACAGTAAAGGAGGCCATTCCATTGTTGTGCTGTATCTTGTCATCCAAAATCCAAAAGCCTGATTGTTGTCATTCTTGAGTGTGAGAGGGCTGCAAACATCAGAACAGCTTTTCACAATAAGCGGCTGACTGGGAAACCTGAGCAAACAAAAAAAGGAGAAAATTAACTCTGGTCTCTGGCCAAAATAATTTGCCTATGATAAACAAAATAGACAATTTCCAGTTCCCACCCCATAGCAGATTAAGACCACCTGTTGTTAATTATGTCCAAATATTTGATAGTTCCTTGTTCCTTTATGTTTTTCAGTTATGTCATTATTCTTTGTTTCAATTTTAACCCATGCAGCACAATTCACTTTTCCTTGGCTTTCTACTTTTAGAGTCGTTACTTCTAACTTATCTCTGCTTCTCTCATCCAAAATTTAGAGACAAATCTAAAGCTTTGGTCTTGTTACTCCTTAGCAAATTATGGCCAGCTTAGTGCAACATTTTCCCCTGACTATTCCTGAAGCAGTTTATTGACTTCACTACCCCCGCAGACCCCAGGAGTAGAAAATGCTGGTTCTCCCATAGTTCACCTACTTGTAGCTGCTAGGTAATGTAAGCTTTCTCAACAATTCCCTACTGCCTCTTGTATCACTGAGAGGCACAGCAAGCAAGAGAAAGAACTTGTATTGGCTAAATGAAAGCCTTTTAATAACTGACTGCTTACAGAGAAGTAGGTGGGTTATGGGGTAAAATAAGGGATATTAAGACATGCAGACATTAGCAAAAATGGGGAGGCATTACCACCTCTAGGGCTAAAAAGGCACAGAGAAGAAATATGTCTACAGAATCCTGTGAGAGTGTGAGATGTTGGGGAAGGGCTACTCCCCAGGGGCTCTAGTCTTGGAAGAATTCAGGTGCTACTGGAATAGGTGCTGGCATAAAGGAGGGAGCCTGAGAGAAACACAGCAACCTGTCTTTTCTCTTGCCTTCCAATCTTCTGCTCACGACTCGCTTTGGCTAAATCCACCTATAAACAAATTGAAAGAGTGGCTGCGTGACGTAGGCCTTAAGCAATAGCTTTCTAGGACCTCAGACTGGGTCGATGGGAGTGAAGACTGGTTTTGCAGGGGAAGGAGCAAACAATAACCTGCACATTCCTGAAGATCAGATGTTTCTTCCTCCTTCTTTTCAAGCTCATGTTATCTGACGATGCCACCCTCTACCACTCTTCAGTGCTGTCATTGACCTGTCTCGCTTTCCACTACAACCCCTGCCATCATCCTTGGCTACTTCACTGTGTATGTGGATGACCCATCAGACAGTCTAGTCTCAAAGTGTTTACTTTCTCAACAACAACAACATTTATCTGTGTTCTAGTTCAGCAACCCATGGTAAAATACCAATTGTTTTTTCTAGCACAGAAAATAGTTATCAATGAGCTAGGAAATCTCTCAGTTTTCTATCTCTAATTTTAGCTGCATCCATTCTCCCTTCTTCTTCAGTTTTTTTTGTTGTTGTTGTTGTTATTTCAATAGGTTTTTGGGGAACAGGTGGTGGTTAGTTACATGGAAAAGTTCTTTACTGTTGATTTCTGAGATTTTGGTGCACCCATCACCTGAGGAGTATACACTACCTAATGTGTAGTCTTTTATCCCTTGCCCCACTCCCACCCTTTCCCCAGAGTCCTCAGAGTCCATTGGATCATCCTTAGACTTTTGCGTCCTCATAGCTTAGCTCCCACTTATAAGTGAGAACATACGATGCTTGGTTTACCATTCCTGAGTTACTTCACTTAGAATAATGGTCTCCAACTCCATTCGGGTTGCTGCAAATGCCATTATTTCATTCCTTCTTATGGCCAAGTAGTATCCCATTACATATATACATATATTTTGCAATTGCAAATTGTGATGCTATAAACATGTATGTCCAAGTGTCTTTTTAATATAATGACTTCTTTACCTCTGGGTAGATGCCCAGTAGTGGGATTGCTAGATCAAATGGTAGATCTACATTTAGTTCCTTAAGGAATCTTTATACCGTTTTCCATAGTAGTTGTACTAGTTTACATTCCCACTAACAGTGTGAAAGTGTTCCCTTTTCACCACAATCACCCCATCTATTATTTTTTGATATTTTAACTATGGCTATTCTTGCAGGAGTCAGGTGGTATCACACTGTGGTTTAGATTTGCATTTCCCTGATAATTAGTGTTTAGCATTTTTTTTCATGTTTTTTGGCTATTTGTATATCTTCTTTTGAGAATTGTCTATTCATGTCCTCAGCCCACTTTTTGATGGGATTACTCAATTTTTTCTTGCTGATTTGTTTGAGTTCCTTGTATATTCTGGGAATTACTCCTTTGTCAGACGTATAGATTATGAAGATTTTTGCCCATTCTGTGGGTTGTCTGTTTATTCTACTGATTATTTCTTCTGCTGTGCAGAAGCTTTTTAGTTTAATTAAGGCCCATCTATTTATCTTTGTTTTTGTTGCATTTGCTTTTGAGTTCTTGGTCATGAAGTCTTTGCCTAAGCCAATGTCTAGAAGGGTTTTTCTGATGTTGTCTTCCAGAATGTTTAAGGTTTCAGGTCTTAGATTTAAATCATTGATCCATATTGAGTTGATTTTTGTATGAGGTGAGACGTGAGGACCCAGTTTCATTCTTCTATATGTGGCTTGCCAATTATCTTAGCACCATTTGTTAAATAGGGTGTCCTTTCCCCACTTAATGTTTTTGTTTGATTTGTCAAAGATCAGTTGGCTGCAAGTATTTGGCTTTATTTCTGGGTTCTTTATTCTGTTCCATTGGTTTGTGTGCCTATTTTTATGCCAGTACCATGCTGTTTGACTGACTATAGCCTTAACAGTATATTTGAAGTCACGTAATGTGATGGCTCCAGATTTGTTCTTTTTGCTTAGTCTTGCCTTGGCTATGCAGGCTCTTTTTAGGTTCCAGATGAATTTTAGAATTGTGTTTTCTAGTTCTGTGAAGAATAAAAATAGTATTTTGATGGGAATTGTACTGAATTTGTAGATTGCTTTTGGAAGTATGGTCATTTTGACAATATTGATTCTACCCATTCATGAGTATGGGATGTGTTTCCATTTGTGTCGTCTGTGATTTCTTTCAGTAGAGTTTTGTAGTTTTCCTTGTAGGAGTCTTTCATTTCCTTGGTTAGGTATATTCCTAAGTTTTTTTTTTTTTGCTTGTTTGTTTGTTTGCAGGGGGGAAAAAGGGGTTGAGATTTTATTTTGTTCTTACCTTGGTTGCTGTTGGTGTATAGCACTGCTACTGATTGTGTACATTGATTTTGTATCCTAAAACTTTACAGAATTTATTTGTCAGAACTGGGAGGTTTTTGAATGAGTGAGTTTTTAGGGTTTCCTAGGTATATAATCATATTATCAGTGAACAGTGATGGCCTGACTTCCTCTTTACTGATTAGGATGCCCTTTATTTCTTTCTCTTGACTTATTTCTCTAGCTAGGATTCCCGACACTATGTTGAATAGAGGTGATGAAAGATGGGATCCTTGTCCCATTCCAGTCCTCAGGGGAAATGCTGTCAACTCTTCCCTGTTCAGTATAATATTGGCTGTGGGTTTGTCATAGATGGCTTTTATTAGTTGAAGGTATGTCGCTTCTATGCCAATTTTGCTGAGCGTTTTAATCATAAAAGGATGCCAGATTTTGTGAAATTCTTTTACTGCCTCTATTGAGATGATCATGTGATTTCTGTTTTAATTCTGTTTGTGTGGTATATCACATTGACTTGCATATGTTAGGCAATCTTTGCATTCCTGGTGTGAAAACCATTTGATCATGGTGGATTTTTGCTTTGATACTAGTTAGCTAGTATTTCTTGAGGATTTTTGCATCTATGTTTGTCAGGGATATTGGTCTGTAGTTTTCTTTTGTGTTATGTTCTATCTTGGTTTTGGTATTAGGGTGATACTGGCTTCATAGAATGATTTAGGGAGGATCACATCTTTCTCTATCTTTTGGAATAGTGTCAACAGGATTGGTACCAGTTCTTCTTTGAATGTCTGATATAATTCAGCTGTGAATCTAGTTGGTCCTGGACATTTTTTTATTGCCAATTTTTTTCATTACCATTTTGATCTCACTGCTTGCTATTGGTCTGTTCAGAGTTTATGTTTCTTTCTTGTTTAATCTAGGAGGGTTGCATATTTCCAGGAATTTATCCATCTCCTCTAGGTTTTGTAGTTTGTGTGCATAAAGGTGTTCCTAGTATCCTTGAGTGATCCTTTGTATTTCTTGATATCAGTTGTAGTATCTCCCATTTCATTTCTAACTGAGCTTATTTGGATCTTCTCTGTCTTTGGTTAATTTCACTAATGGTCTATAAATTTTGTTTATTTTTTCAAAAACTCAACTTTTGTGTCATTTATCTTTTGTAAATTTTGGGGTCAATTTCATTCAGTTTTCTCTGATCTTTGTTATTTCTTTTTTTCTTCTGTGTTTGGGTTTGTTTTGTTCTTGTTTCTCGAATTCCTTAAGGTGTGACCTTAGATCGTCTATTTGTGCTGTTTCAGACTTTTAATGTAGGCATGTAATGCTATGAGCTATCCTTTTAGCACCAGTTTTGCTTTATCCCAGAGATTTTGATAGGTCATGTCACTATTATCATTCAGTTCAAATTTTCTTAAATTTTCACCTTGATTTCAGTGATCATTCAGGAACAGATTATTTAATTTCCATGCATTTTCATGGTTCTGAGAATTCCTTTTGGAGTTGATTTCCAATTTTATTCCACTGTGATCTGAGAGTACTTGATATAATTTTGATTTTCTTAAATTTATTGTGATGTATTTTGCGGCCTATCATATGGTCTATCTTGGAGAATGTTCCATGTGCTGATGAATAGAATGTATATTCTGCAATTGTTGGGTAGAATGTTCAGTAAATATTTGTAAAGTCCATTTATTCTAGAGTATAGTTAAGGTCCATTGTGTTTTTGTTGACTTTCTGCCTTGATGACCTGGCTAGTGCTGTTAGTGGAGTATCGAACTCCCTCAATATTATTGTGTTGCTGTCTATCTCGTTTCTTAGGTTTCATAGTAATTGTTTTATAAATTTGGGAGCTCCAGTGTTAGGTGCATATATATTTAGGATTGTGATATTTTCCTATTGGATTAGTTCTTATATCATTATGTAATGTCCTTCTTTGTATTTTTTATCTGTTGTTGCTTTAAAGTCTGTTTTGTCTGATACAAGGATAGCTACTCCTGATCACTTTTGGTGTCCATTTGCATGGAATATCTTTTTCCATCCCTTTACCTTAACTATATGTGAATCTTTAAGTGTTAGGTGAGTCTCTCAGAGACAGCAAATACTTTGTTGGTGAATTATTATCCACCCGGCCATTCTGTATCTTTTAAGTGGAGCATTTAGGCCATTTGCATTCAACATTAGTATTGAGATATGAGGTACTATTCTATTCATCATGCCAGTTGTCACCTAAATACCTTATTTACTTTCCCATTTCATTACTGTTTATAGGCCTTGTGAGAGTTATGCTTTAAGGAGGTTCTATATGGGTGTATTTTGAGATTTTGTTTCAAGATTTAGAGCTCCTTTTAGCAGTTCTTGTAGTGCTGACTTGGTAGTGGTGAATTCTCTCAGCATTTGTTTGTCTGAAAATAACTTTATTTCTCCTTCATTTATGAAGCTTAGTTTCATTGGATACAAAATTATTGGCTGATAATTGTTTTGTTTAAGGAAGCTACAGATAGGACCCCAATTCCTTCTAGCTTGTAGGGTTTCTGCTGAGAAATCTGCTGTTAATCTGATAAGTTTTTCTTTATAGGTTACCTGATGCTTTTTCCTCACAGCTCTTAAGATTCTTTCCTTCATCTTGACTTGAGATAACCTGATGACTATGTGCCAACATGATTATCTTTTTGTGAAGAATTTGCCAGGTTTTCTGTGTTTGTTTGGATGTCTAGATCTTGGACAAGGCCAGAGAAGTTTTCCACAGTTATTCCCTCAAATATGTTTTCCAAACTTTTAGATTTCTCTTCTTCCTCAGGAACACCAATTATTCTTAGATTTGATCATTTAACATAATCCCAAACTTCTTTCTTTGTTCATTTTTAAATATTTTTTCTTTGTCTTGTTGGATTCAGTTAATTTGAAAGCCTTGTCTTTGAGCTCTGAAGTTCTTCTATTTGTTTGATTCTATTTTTGACTTTCCAGTGTACTTTGCATTTCTGTGTGTCCTTCATTTCCAGAAGTTGTGATTGTTTTTTATTTATGCTACCCATTTCTCTGGAGATTTTTCCATCCATATCCTGTAGCATATTTAAAATTTCTTTAAGTTGGTATTCACCTTTCTTTGGTGCCTCCTTAAGTAGCTTAATAATCAACCTGCTGAATTCTTTTTCTGGCAATTCAGAGATTTCTTCTTGGTTTGGATCTATTGCTGGAGAGCTAGTGTGATCTTTGGAGATATTAAAGAAACTTGTTTTGTCATATTACCAGAGTTATTTTTCTGGCTCCTTCTCATTTGGGTAGACTATGTCAGAGGGAAGATCTGGGGCTCAAGATTGCTGTTCAAATTCTTTTGTTCAACAGGGTGTTCCCTGGAGGAGCTCCCTAAAGAGGGTGCTCCTCCAGTCCCAAGCCACTAGCTAGAGGAAGGGGCTTCCTGAGAGCTGAACTTCAGTGATTGTTATATCTCTTCTGGGTTTAGCCATCCAGTGGACAAAAGAATCTGAACAATGGCTCTTGAGTCCCTTATCTTCCCTCTGACATAGTCTACCCAAATAAGAAGTAACCAGAAAAACAGTTCTGGTTCCTCTAGGTAGTGGCTTGGGACTGGAGGAGCCCCCTCTTTAGGGAGCTCCTCCAGGGACCACCCTGTGGGACAAAAGAATTTGAACAGCAGTCCTTGAGCCCCAGATCCTCCAGTACAAGCCACTACCTAGAGGAAGGGGCTTCCTGAGAGCTGAATTGCAGTGATTGTTATATCTCTTCTGGGTTCAGCCACCCAGTGGAGCTACCAGGCTCCAAGATGGTACTGGGGTGTGTCTGCAAAGAGTGCTGTGATTTTATTTGTCTTCAGGTTTCTCAGCCATGGTTACCAGAACCTGCTCTGGTTGAGGTGGCAGGAGAGTGAAGTGGACTCTTTGAGAGTCCTTGGTTTCAGTTTTGTTCAGTGTGCTGGTTTCTCTAATGCTGGTTATGGTAACAGTGATATTGTCATGTGCACAGACATGACCTCTGGTTAGCCAGGATATTACAGGTGATAGAATTGGTGTGGTTTTCTCCTTTCCTGAGTGGGCTGTTCTTTTATGAGTTGCTGTAATGGTTGGGTTGGGTGGCCTCTAGCCAGGAGGTGGCACTTTCAAGAGAGCATCAGCTGTGGTAGTATGGGGCGATACAAGCTTGCCCTAAGGTTGACTGGATAAGTATTTGGGTTTCTCAGGTAATGGGTGGGGACATAGAGCTCCCAATACATTGTGTCTTTTGTCTTCAGCTACCAGGGTGGATAGAGAAAGGCCATTAGGTGGGGACAGGGATAGACATGTCTGAGCCCAGACTCTCCTTGGGTGGGGCTTGCTGCAGCTGCTGTGGGGGATGGGATATGGTTCTCAGGCTAATGTAATTATGTTCCCACGGGGATTATGGCTGCCTCTCCTGCATCATACAGGTTGCCAGGGAAGTGGTGAAAAGATGGCAGTGACAGGCCTCACCCAGCTCCCACTCAGCCAGCAAGGCCAGTTTCACTCCCATCTTGCCAGACCAATAACATCAAGTTTATATCCAGGTAGCTGGTGAGCAGGGATAAGATCTTGCCCCAGGCTACAAGTCACCCTACTGAGAAAGCAAACAGGGCTTTCAGGCCTCACCCCTCCCTGCCTGCTACAGCTTCTGTGTGCATATCTGCACTTCCCATTTGGCCACCCCCCACTCCCCTGGATTCTGCCCAGGATTAATTGCACTCATTCAAAATTATTACCAGGTTCAGCTGGGAGTTTCCTTCTCCCTGTGGCCCTTTCCCAGTTCCACTGGCTGCCCTCCCCAAGGACCTCTGTGAGATAAAGTCAGGAATGGTTTCCCTGGGCTTCTCTGGGGACTGGGAGTGCCTACAGGGATCTTCCCACTGCTTCTACTACTTTCATATTTTGCTTGGCTCTCTAAAATGATTTCAGCTCTAGGTAAAGTGAAATCCTTCTCCTGTGATCTGGATTTTTAGGTTCCGCAGTAGGTATGTGTGGTCACAAGCTGACTTTTCCCCCCCTCTCACATTTTAGGCACTGGTAGTTTTTTGGCTGTCTCACGGAGTTTGCAGTGGCAAGCTACTTCTTTCAAAGGGTCTGTGAATTCTTTTGTTTTTCCTGGTATCTTCCTGCAGTAGTTCTTGGAGGAAAAGCTCATGACATGAGTTTCTACACATTGTTCTGTCCATCTGAGTGAGAGCTGCAAGTTAGTCCTGCCTCCTATCTGCCTTTTATTATTATTATTATTATTCTGATCTCCTTCTTTCAGTTTTAAATAATAGGTTCTCTCACTTGTCTAGAGCAGTCTATCTACCCATGCTCTGTAACTGATTCCTTGCTGTCTCCTCCAGGACATGGCTCTGTTGGTTGCTTTCTCTTCCTTTCTACTATCACCTTCCCCATAGACCATATATAAATCCCTCTAAAAAAAAAAAACCAAAAAACTGAGGAAAAGGAAAATAAATACTTCCCCTCATCAAATATCTTCTTGTAGTTGCTATTCTTCTTCTGTTTTTAGCAAGTGTCTCCCAACAGCCTACATTCACAATTTCTACTTGCTCTCGCTTTGTCCCACTAGTCACCCCACAGCAATACCTCTTTGCCCAAGTAGCTCACACTATTGAACCCATTCCAGTAAAATAACTTTAATGATTTTCAAAATGCCAAATTTAGTAAATGCTTTTTAGTGTCTGTGTGCCATTTGGCATTACCGTCCATTTCCATTTTCATTCTGTGTGACTTCTGAGATAACGCTTTCTCTTTATAGTTTCCCCTTGCTTATGGCTTTTCTTTCCTCGTTTCGTTTGTTGGATCTGCTAGCTGTAGCTACTCCTTAAATGTTAATGTTTCTGAAGATTCTGTCCCTGGCCCACTTTTGTCACTGGGCATGATAATCCTCATCAACATTATCCTACGTTATCTTGGAGTTTCAGCTACAATCATATGCTGATGGCATTCAAACTCCTGCCTCCAGCCAAGACCTCATTTCAGTTTCAGATCCCACACATTTATTTAACAAACATTTAAGTAGTGCTTTCTACATTCTAGGATCTAAGCTTTGCAAATGCTAGTTCATTTAATTCCCATTACAATCCTATGAAGTTGGTATACAGGAGGAAAATTGAGGTACTAACATAAGACTAAAAAATTTGAAGTTTCCCAGCTAGTCAAACAACCTAAATGATTGTATAGGTTGTCCGGGGTGGAGCCAAGATGACTGAATAGGAACAGCTCCAGTCTACAGCTCCCAGCATGAGCGACGCAGAAGACGGGTGATTTCTGCATTTCCAACTGAGGTACCGGGTTCATCTCACTGGAGAGTGCTGGACAGTGGGTGCAGGACAGTGGATGCAGCGCACTGTGCGTGAGCCAAAGCAGGGTGAGGCATCGCCTCACCTGGGAAGTGCAAGTGGTCAGGGAATTCCCTTTCCTAGCCAAAGAAAGAGGGGACAGATGGCACCTGGAAAATCGGATCACTCCCACCTGAATACTGCGCTATTCCAATGGACTTATCAAATGGCACACCAGGAGATTATATCCTGCACATGCCTTGGAGGGTCCTACGCCCATGGAGCCTCGCTCATTGCTAGCACAGCAGTCTGAGATCAAACTGCAAGGCAGCAGCAAGGCCAGGGGAGGGGGGCCTGCCATTGCCAAGGCTTGAGTAGGTAAATAAAGCAGCCAGGAAGCTCGAACTGGGTGGAGCCCACCACAGATCAAGGAGGGCTGCCTGCCTCTGTAGGCTCCACCTCTGGGGGCAGGGCACAGACAAACAAAAGACAGCAGTAACCTCTGCAGACTTAAATGTCCCTGTCTGACAGCTTTGAAGACAGTAGTGGTTCTCCCAGCACGCAGCTTGAGATCTGAGAACTGGCAGACTGCCTCCTCAAGTGGGTCCTTGACCCCCGAGTAGCCTAACTGGGAGGCACCCCCTAGTAGGGGCAGACTGATGCCTCACACAGCTGGGTACTCTTCTGAGACAAAACTTCCAGAGGAATGATCAGGCAGCAGCATTTGCAGTTCACCAATATCCACTGTTCTGCAGCCACCGCTGCTGATACCCAGGCAAATAGGGTCTGGAGTGAACCTCCAGCAAACTCCAACAGACCTGCAGCTGAGGGTCCGGACTGTTAGAAGGAAAACTAACAAACAGAAAGGACATCCACATCAAAAACCCATCTGTACGTCATCATCATCAAAGACCAAAGGTAGATAAAACCACAAAGATGGGGAATAAAACAGAGCAGAAAAGCTGGAAACTCTAAAAATCAGAGTGCCTCTCCTCCTCCAAAGGAACGCAGCTCCTCACCAGCAACAGAACAAAGCTGGATGGACAATGACTTTGACGAGTTGAGAGAAGAAGGCTTCAGATCAAACTACACTGAGCTAAAGGAGGAAGTTTGAACCAATGGCAAAAAAGTTAAAAACCTTGAAAAAAAATTAGATGAATGGCTAACTAGAATAACCAATGCAGAGAAGTCCTTAAAGGACCTGATGGAGCTGAAAACCACAGCACGAGAACTACGTGATGAATGCACAAGCTTCAGTAGCTGATGCGATCAACTGGAAGAAAGGGTATCAGCGAAGGAAGATGAAATGAATGAAATGAAGCAAGAAGAGAAGTTTAGAGAAAAAAGAATAAAAAGAAACAAACAAAACCTCCAAGAAATATGGGACTATGTGAAAAGACCAAATCTATGTCTGATTGGTGTACCTGAAAGTGACGGGGAGAATGGAACCAAGTTGAAAAACACTCTGCAGGATGTTATCCAGGAGAACTTCCCCAGCCTAGCAAGGCAGGCCAACATTCAGATTCAGGAAATACAGAGAATGCCACAAAGATTCTCCTCGAGAAGAGCAACTCCAAGACACATAATTGTCAGATTTACCAAAGTTGAAATGAAAGGAAAAATGTTAAGGGCAGCCAGAGAGAAAGGTCGGGTTACCCACAAAGGGAAGCCCATCAGACTAACAGCATATCTCTCAGCAGAAATTCTACAAGCCAGAAGAGAGTGGGGGCCAATATTCAACATTCTTAAAGAAAAGAATTTTCAACCCAGAATTTCATATCCAGCCAAACTAAGCTTCATAAGTGAAGGGAGCAATAAAATATTTTACTGACAAGCAAATGCTGAGAGATTTTGTCACCACCAGACCTGCCCTAAAAGAGCTCCTGAAGGAAGCGCTAAACATGGAAAGGAACAACCAGTACCAGCCACTGCAAAATCATGCCAAATTGTAAACACCATCGAGGCTAGGAAGAAACTGCATCAACTAATGAGCAAAATAACCAGCTAACATCATAATGACAGGATCAAATTCACATATAACAATATTAACTTTAAATGTAAATGGACTAAATGCTCCAATTAAAAGACACAGACTGGCAAATTGGATAACGGGTCAAGACCCATCAGTGTGCTGTATTCAGGAAACCCATCTCACATGCAGAGACACACATAGGCTCAAAATAAAAGGATGGAGGAAGATCTACCAAGCAAATGGAAAACAAAAAAAGGCAGGGGTTGCAATCCTAGTCTCTGATAAAATAGACCTTAAACCAACAAAGATCAAAAGAGACAAAGAAGGCCATTACTTAATGGTAAAGGGATCAATTCAACAAGAAGAGCTAAGCATCCTAAATATATATGCACCCAATATAGGAGCACCCAGATTCATAAAGCAAGTCCTGAGTGACCTACAAAGAGACTTAGACTCCCACACAATAATAAAGGGAGACTTTAACACCCCACTGTCAACATTAGACAGATCAACGAGACAGAAAGTTAACAAGAATATCCAGGAATTGAATTCAGCTCTGCACCAAGCGGACCTAATAGACATCTACAGAACTCTCCACCCCAAATCAACAGAATATACACTCTTTTCAGCTCCACACTACACCTATTCCAAAATTGACCACATACTTGGAAGTAAAGCACTCCTCAGCAAATGTAAAAGAACAGAAATTATCACAAACTGTCTCTCAGACCACAGTGCAATCAAACTAGAACTCAGGATTAAGAATCTCACTCAAAACCACTCAACTACATGGAAACTGAACAACCTGCTCCTGAATGACTACTGGGTACATAAATAAATGAAGGCAGAAATAAAGATGTTCTTTGAAACCAATGAGAACAAAGACACAACATACCAGAATCATTGGGACACATTTAAAGCAATGTGTAGAGGGAAATTTATAGCACTAAATGCCCACAAGAGAAAGCAGGAAAGATCCAAAATTGACACCCTAACATCACAATTAAAAGAACTGGAAAAGCAAGAGCAAACACATTCAAAAGCTAGCAGAAGACAAGAAATAACTAAGATCAGAGCAGAACTGAAGGAAATAGAGACACAAAAAACCCTTCAAAAAATCAATGAATCCAGGAGCTGGTTTTTTGAAAAGATCAACAAAATTGATAGACCGCTAGCAAGACTAATAAAGAAGACAAGAGAGAAGAATCAAATAGACACAATAAAAAATGATAAAGGGGATATCACCACCGATCCCACAGAAATACAAACTACCATCAGAGAATACTATAAACACCTCTACACAAATAAACTAGAAAATCTAGAAGAAATGGATAAATTCCTCGACACATACACCCTCCCAAGACTAAACCAGGAAGAAGTTGAATCTCTGAATAGAACAATAACAGGCTCTGAAATTGAGGCAATAATTAATACCTTACCAACCAAGAAAAGTCCAGGACCAGATGGAATCATAGCCGAATTCTCCCAGAGGTACAAGGAGGAGCTGGTACCATTCCTTCTGAAACTATTCCAATCAATAGAAAAAGAGGGAATCCTCCCTAACTCATTTTATGAGTCCAGCATCATCCTGATACCAAAGCCTGGCAGAGACACAACAAAAAAAGAGAATTTTAGGCCAATATCCTTGATGAACATTGATGCAAAAATCCTCAATAAAATACTGGCAAACCCAATCCAGCAGCACATCAAAAAGCTTGGCCACCATGATCAAGTGGGCTTCATCCCTGGGATGCAAGGCTGGTTCAACATACAATAAACATAATCCAGCATATCAATAAACATAATCCAGCATATAAACAGAACCAAAGACAAAAACCACATGATTATCTCAATAGATGCAGAAAAGGCCTTTGAGAAAATTCAACAACCTTCATGCTGAAAACTCTCAATAAATTAGCTATTGATAGGATGTATCTCAAAATAATAAGAGCTATCTATGACAAACCCACAGCAAATATCATACTGAATGGACAATAACTGGAAGCATTCGCTTTGAAAACTGCCACGTGATAGGGATGCCCTCTCTGACCACTCCTATTCAACATAGTATTGGAAGCTCTGGCCAGGGCAATCAGGCAGGAGAAGGAAATAAAGGGCATTCAATTAGGAAAAGGGGAGGTCAAATTGTCCCTGTTTGCAGATGACATGATTATGTATCTAGAAAACCCCATTGTCTCCGCCCAAAATCTCCTTAAGCTGATAAGCAACTTCAGCAAAGACTCAGGATACAAAATCAATGTACAAAAATCACAAGCATTCTTATACACCAATAACAGACAAACAGAGCCAAATCATGAGTGAACTCCCATTCACAATTGCTTCAAAGAGAATAAAGTACCTGGGAATCCAACTTACAAGGGATGTGAAGGGCCTCTTCAAGGAGAACTACAAACCAGTGCTCAATGAAATAAAAGAGGATACAAACAAACGCAAGAACATTCCATGCTCATGGGTAGGAAGAATCAATATCGTGAAAATGGCCATACTGTCCAAGGTAATTTATAGATTCAATGCCATCCCCATCAAGCTACCAGTGACTTTCTTCACAGAATTGGAAAAAACTACTTTAAAGTTCATATGGAACCAAAAAAGAGCCCACATTGCCAAGTCAATCATAAGCGAAAATAACAAAGCTGAAGGCATCATGCTACGTGACTTCAAACTATACTACAAGGCTACAGTAACCAAAACAGCATGGTACTTGTACCAAAACAGAGATATAGACCAATGGAGCAGAACAGAGCCCCCAGAAATAATGCCACATATCTACAACTATCTGATCTTTGACAAACCTGACTAAAACTAGCAATGAGGAAAGGATTCCCTATTTAATAAATGGTGCTGGGGAAACTGGCTAACCATATGTAGAAAGCTGGAACTGGATCCCTTCCTTACACCTTATGCAAAAATTAATTCAAGATAGATTAAAGACTTACATGTTAGACCTAAAGCCATAAAAACCCTAGAAGAAAACCTAGGCAATACCATTCAGGACATAGGCATGGGCAAGGACTTCATGTCTAAAACACCAAAAGCAATGGCAACAAAAGCCAAAGTTGACAAATGGGATCTAATTAAACTAAAGAGCTTCTGCACAGCAGGAGAAACTACCATCAGAGTGAACAGGCAACCTACAGAATGAGAGAAAATTTTTGCAACCTGCTCATCTGACAAAAGGCTAATATCCAGAATCTACAATGAACTCAAACAAATTTACAAGAAAAAACAAACAACCCCATCAAAAAGTGGGTGAAGGATATGAACAGACACTTCTCAAAAGAAGACATTTATGCAGCCAAAAAACACATGAAAAAATGCTCATCATCACTGGCCATCAGAGAAATGCAAATCAAAACCACAATGGGATACCATCTCACACCAGTTAGAATGGCAATCATTAAAAAGTCAGGAAACAACAGGTGCTGGAGAGGTTGTGGAGAAATAGGAACACTTTTACACTGTTGGTGGGACTGTAAACTAGTTCACCCATTGTGGAAGTCAGTGGGGCGATTCCTCAGGGATCTAGAACTAGAAATACCATTTGATCCAGCCATCCCATTACTGGGTATATACCCAAAGGATTATAAGTCACGCTGCTATAAAGACACATGCACACGTATGTTTATTGCAGCACTATTCACAATAGCAAAGACTTGGAACCAACCCAAATGTACAACAGTGATAGACTGGATTGAGAAGGTGTGGCACATATACACCATGGAATACTATGCAGCCATAAAAAATGATGAGTTCATGTCCTTTGTAGGGACATGGATGAAGCTGGAAACCATCATTCTCAGCAAAGTATCGTAAGGACAAAAAACCTAACACCACATGTTCTCACTCATAGGTGGGAATTGAACAATGAAAACACATGGACACAGGAAGGGGAATATCACACACCAGGGCCTGTTGTGGGGTGGGGGGAGGGGGGAGGGATAGCATTAGGAGATATACCTAATGCTAAATGACGAGTTGATGGGTGCAGCACACCAACATGGCACATGTATCCATATGTAGCAAACCTGCCCATTGTGCACATGTACCCTAAAACTTAAAGTGTAATAATAAAAAAAAAGGTTTCTACCACTAAGTTTAGTGAATATTCTATACAGAAGAAGAGTTAAAGTCCCAATAGCCTTTCATACATTTAATAACTTCTTACTAAAAACATTTTTCTGGGCACAGAAATCAGCTATGGTGAATAGACAACAGGTTCTTGGTCTGAAGAAACGCTCTCTGGTGGTGGTAAACCAACTCTAAATAAATAAATTGACATAGATTTTTTAAAAAATGATTTTATAGGTTGTATAACTTGCCCCAGGCCGCACAACTTATAACTGGTAGAGCCAGCATTGGAATTGAGACAGTCAGGCTCCAAAGTCCATGCTGACAACCATTTTGCTGAATTCTTCATCTCAGTGTCCCTTGGGTACCTCTAACTTACCATATCTGAAACTAGATTTAGCTTTCTCTGAAAACTGACTTCTACCAATCTAATCAACAATGATAAAGCTAATATTCCGAGTCACCTTCAAATTGATATTTTTTAATTAGTGATTTAACATTTAATTAGATATGTTGGGGGAAATTGATATAATAAGCATTGTATACTTACATCATTATCATAAAAATAGTATATCCCTAATACAATGTAAAATTTTGATATTTTTGGAATTGTCTTTCTTTCAGTTACTCCTTCGCTCATACATAAATGAGCTATTGAAGATAAAGTTTCATGTCCATGGATATGTTTAGACTTTTAAAAATCACTTGAAGGATTATTTTTCTGATTTATATGTCAGCAGAATATTTTGTGACTACTTTTTGAATAACATTTTAAATAGATAGTGCCAAATAAATCACATGTTATTTGGCATAGATGTTTCTGGATCCAGTAGTTAGAA